>NC_000001.11:56978077-57129592 GCF_000001405.40 Homo sapiens
CTACGGTTTGGGGGTTTGTATTTTTGAGAGGCAGTGCCACCAAGTGGATGCTGTATAGGCACTGGAGGGGTAATGGGCTGAGTTTGAATCTCAATTCTGTCATTTGTTAGCTACCTGACTTTGGGCAAGTTACTTTGCCTTTCTGATTCTCGGTTCCTTCACTATAGAGAAAATTATTCTTGTATAGGGGTCATAAGGATTAGGAACAATAAACGTAAATTTCCTGCACAGTGCTTGACACATGGTAGGTGTTCAATAGGTGGAAGCTGCTACTTCTATCATAACTATCATTATTATCATCTGTGACTCCACATCCATGTCCAGGACTGCCAGAGGAGGGTAACACAGGTAGAGAATCATGCAACCATGAAGGTTATTCAAAAGGTCATTCTATCTTAGAGTACTAGAGGGACAGACTTCAATCTCACTTTTAGCCATATCTCAGAGTTTTGACCTAAAACCCTCACCAGAACCTTCACCAGAATTCTTCCATCCTCTGAGATCTCCAAGAAACCCTTTCCAGATAAGTGGGAAAACTAAACCCTCTGAGCGGAACTCCACAGCTTTGTGACTGCAGCCTTGGCCCTGCAGCCCCACAGGTATCCACAAAGATAGTTGGCATCTTCAAAATACTTAATAATTTTCAGCCACAGTGATAATGACCATCATAGCATAAGGATAACAATAGCAGGTTTTAAAAGGACCGTATATTGACCACAAATAGGTGTAATCACACACTCTCCATGGTGCTGCTTAGGCTATCATTTTTCCTATGCAGCTCTGACCCAATTGCAGAAAGAGAAATTCTGCAGAACTTGGAGAGGGTGAAAAGTGCCCATCTCCTGGGCTCCCTCACCATTCCTGAGCTCTCAGAATGAGTCTCTGTTCACCAGGAGGGCGCTAGTGTGCAGGAGACAGTGGCCAAGCCTCCACCACAGCTGCCTTGCCAGGTTCCTTGTCAATACCTGTTGACATTTCCCTGAGTAATCATTCTGGGCACCTCGGTATATTTTTTCATATCGCTGGATAGATTACGGGGGCTCTATTGATTTTGTGGTTTCATGTGTGAAAGATCTAATCTTAATCCTCAGTTGTTCATTTTCCTTAACCTTTTAATAACATGATACGGAGGGAAGCTGTCAGAATGGAAATTGTTTCTGAGGCATATTGTCATAAATATATGCCACACACTGTTTTATTTTACGGGTGCAGCCATATTTTTTGAAATAATAATAATGATAAAATTTGGATAGTGTATTGCAGTTTACAAAGCACTTTTCCTTATCAACTCGTTTGATCCGATGGCAATCCTGACAGGTAAGAGTTATTTTATTTCCTTTGATCTATTTATTCTCGGAGTCTTTCCACAACATGAATTTTTATTATTATTCGCTGTGTCACAGATGAGAAAACTGCATTGCCCAAGGTCACACAGCTTTTAAAAATAAGGTTCAGAGTTAGAGAGATCTGCACTCAAATCCTGACACTGCTAGGTTGTTGCTGTATCACTTTGAACATAAGACTTGGGCTCTCTGTGGCTCATTTCTTTATCTACAAAACGGGGATAATGCTATCTTTCTGGGATTTTGGAGGGATTAAAGATGATGTGGGCAAACCATCTGCACAGTACCCAACACTTAGGAGAGGATCAACAAAAGCTATTATAATCAAAATAATAATAATATGAAATATTTGAGAAGGGCAGGGTTTGAGCCAGGACTTTATGTCAAACCTCAGTTCTCTGTTCACTTGGTTGGAGAGCAATTAGAATCTTCTCTCTCACATGCATGCATGCTTGCTCTCTCTCATTTCTTTCCTTAATTTGTAAAGCCCCAGTGAATGACAATAAACTAAGGGCTCTTGAGACGAACACTTGGAAGTCTCTGTTGATGCTGGGGGTGAAGTACAAGAGCCATCTGGGCAGCAATGCCCTTGAGTCTTCCTCCCTGGAGCAAGATTCCAGCCAGTGACCTGGAAATCGGCCTGCAGAAGTACAGTTCCCAGCCCTGGAGGCAGGCTGGCTACACCTGTGTCCTGAGTTAAGAAAGGCTGATGGAGGCATGCAGATGTTCTCACCATAGTTTAGAGAAGTTACATATGGAGAAGTTATTAGGGATTGTGGACTTGAGCCAGAAAACCAGAAGGACGGGGGCTTTCTTCCCAGCTTGAGGCTTTGAGAAAGTCATTTCCTTTACCCACGCCTCAGCTTTCTCATCCTTAAAATGACAGTGTTCAGTGTAATTTGTGTTTCCCAGCCAAAATTTAGCTGAAAACCAAAAACTACTTAAATCCTGCCCCCTCTCACATCCCATTTCCAGTCCTAGAATGATGAACGGGGGTGGGTAAGGAGAAAAAGGCAGCAGGGCAGGGATATATAAAAGGAAAAAGAAATGTTCATATTAGGAAATTTGAGCTCAGATGACTTCTAAATTTCTTCTGAGGACTCACATTCCATGGCTTCAGCTTTCTGGAATTGAAGCTCATTGCCATACTAGCTGTTTCACAGCTTTCTTTGTTAGACTTGAGTATTACTCATCAATGCAGGTAAGATGGAAGCAAATAGATCCCTAGCACAAAATGGCATTTTTTTCTTTCCCTTCCCCTCTCCTCCTCTCCTCTTCCATCCTTTCCCATGAGTAAATGCATACCCTTCTAGATTAAATCCTGGATCTCCACTGATAAATCCTTATATTTTCTGACTTGTGCAACTTTGGTACATGTTGTTCCCTCTGTCACGTGGACTTTTTACTGGGGTCCTCATTCTCCATCTGGTAAAATCATGTTCATCTTTTCAAGATCCATCGCAAATGTCACTCCTACTTTGAGAAGCTTCTATCAGTCCGTTTCTGTGTTGCCATAAAGAAATACCTGAGGCTGGGTAATTTATAAAGAAAAGAGATTTAATAGGCTCATAGTTCTGCAGGCTGCACAGGAAGCATGGGGCTGGCATCTGCTTCTTGTGAGGGCCTCAGGAAGCTTGCAGTCATGGTGGAAAGCGAAGGGAAGCAGGAATATCACATGGGAAGAGCGCGAGCAAGAGAGTGATCGGGGGAAGCCCCAGACTTTTCAAAAACCAGATCTTGTGTGAACTGAGCAAGAACTCACTCATCAACAAGGAGGTTAGTGCAAAACCATTCATGAGGGATCCGCCCCCATGATCCAATCACCCTCCAGTAGGCCCCACCTCCGATATTGGGAATCACATTTCAACATAGATTTGGAGGGGACAAACAGTTGAACTTTATCAGAAACTTTGCCTGACTATCCCAAGAAAAGAAACCATGTCTTATTTTGGCCCCGTAGCACTATCTCTAGGATAGTATTTGCTGGTATTTGTGACACTGTGTTGTAATTCCTTGGCCATCTGTCCTTCCTTCTCCCTCCACCTGTGCATTCCTTCAAGGAGAGGACCATGTTCTCATTCATTTTGATATCTCTAGCACTTGTAGGGATGTCCTTCTATTATGATATTAGCTTGCTGATGGGAATGTTAATAACCCTGTCAACATAGCTTTTATTCATTTATTCACTGATTCATTTATTATTCCTAGACTCAGAATATTTTACAACATTGTAAAGGGCATTACATGTATCATCCAGCCTCTTCATTTGTTCAGAAATTGAGGCTCAGAGAGGTAAAGTTAACTTACCTGGTGCTACCCACCTTAGCAGAAGTAGAGTTGGTAGTTAACTCCATGACCTCTCCTTCAGCCCAGTGTCTTTCTCTCAGTCCTACATGTTCAGGAGACCTATCCAGCTCACCTACTATGTTTCAGGCACTGTGCTATGTGTACAGAAAGGATGTTAATATGATATGGTTCCTGCCTCCAAGCGATTTACAGTCTAGTAGGAAAGCAGAGACCTTTTCCACATACTCTAAACCACCTATGAAGATTTATGCCTAACTGATTCACTGACCCCCTGACCGTCTCTTGAGAGTGGACTCCAGCCCACGTCCTTTCAGGGACTCTACTCTGCCTCTTTTGCTCTGAGCTGCCTCGTGTCCTGGCCCTGGATACATCCCTTTGTATTCTGATTTTGACAGCTGTTTTGGGTTTATCTAATTCTTTCTCTTGACATTTTAGACCCAGGCTCTCTTTCATGACCTTGAGGCTTTTCTCAAGCTGTCTCTCACTGTCTTGATAAAGACTTCCTGCTCAGTTTCCAGCACCATAAACCCCACTGCTGCCCTCCCCACCATCCCTCTGGCTAGTCCCGCACCCACCATGAAATTAACTCAAAGCTGGAACAATTACAGAGATACTTCTGTGGGCCAGCCTCCTGTGCACCTCTGGCATGTGGGTTTACTTTTAGAGGAGAATGAATCCACTAAAGCACATCTTTCTTGAAATGATGGTTTCCAGAGCAGCAAAAGTATAGCATGCACCATTTGCAAGGAGCAATTCTTGCTCTACCTAAAATGCCATCAGCACAAAGCATGGATGGCTTTGTAGATTGTTACTTTTTGAGTAAGCTCATGTGGAGTTTGATAAAACTTATTCCTCATGATCCATAAGCCAGGTGTTTCTACTGAGATAACATATTATTATTTGTGTTGAATCTCAGCCGTTAACATAACTGATATTGGCCAAGCATTTCCCATCCTCTGGTTAGGTAACTCTCAAAAGAGCTGGGCAAGGTATGATACCAGAACATGGCCCAGGAGCTTCCTAAAGCCAAGTGGATTGCAGGTGAAAATGAGGGGACAGTCACTTCTCCCTTACGTTCTCCAGAAAGCATGGAATAGCAAAAGAACCAGAACTTTGGTATCTGTGAGTACAGGGATCTGGCTGTACCATTTATCTGGAGAGGGTGTTTTACCACTTTTGAGCTTCAGTTTCTTGCTTTATAAAATGGGGATGAGAATGCCCATATTACAGGGGTCTTGTGAGAAAATGAAGAAGAATGTAGATATGCTAACTCCCCACCCTAAATACCATCATATATATATATAGACATATATATATAGACATATATATATATAGACATATATATATAGACATATATATATAGACATATATATATATATATAGACATATATATATATATATATAGACATATATATATATATATATAGACATATAGCTGTAAGGAGAAGGTGGGAAAGAACAGGCTTGGTGGAAAGGGGAAAATGCGAATGATAGATAGAGATAATTGTGAGCTGCCTAAAGGATGGACTCCTGGACTAGCTGTGCAGAGATGAAGAGATACACGGAGCTTGTCACAGGCCAAATAGCTATGGCTACGGGGAGGGGACAACTAGGTCTGGCCTTGCCCAGCAAGGAGTCAGGCTGTGATTTCTGGGGGACTAAGGACTGATTTGAAGCAGAACTGCAGCCTGATAAGACAGGGAGATGATCCAGTGCCACACAGAGAAGAGGCCTGCTGCCAAAAAGCTTGTCAGAACCTCAGGAAGACCCATTGGCACCCTGGGGAGGACATCCTGTAGCATCGGAGTGGACATCACCTATTGGAATTGAAACATGGTTCCTAAGAATGGGCTCTCATGGCCAGGATCCAAAAGGAAGGCTGTGGTTCCACGAGGAGACCTGTTCTGAGTCGAGATGACAAAGCTATCTCCAAACCCCACCTGCTAGGGAGGATAAGATTGCTAACAACCAGCTCTGTGGTCAGAACTGGCTCAGCTGCACAGGGTAGTGCTATTGGCAGCTAAAGATAGGGTGGGGGAAGAAGAGACCTACGAAGTGTTCCCAAACCCCTCTCCAACTCCCCGTTTGGACAAGAAAGCCTATCAAGGCTTCCGAGACATCTAAGGAGGAGAGCCAGTAACTGCTCAGAGTACATCTTTATGATGACATTCCAGAAAATTCACCACTTACTGTAGTTTAATTCCTCCTTGTCTATTTGAATACCTGGGTGGAAATATCAGACTCACCCAGGCTCAGTTCTACAGGTAACGTGGAGCCAAGGAGGGTCTTAGAAGAGCAGAGTAGATGAGCAAAGCTGTGTTTCTCAGACACTGCTTAAGATGCATTTCAAAGGGCAAAGACAAGGCGACCTCTTAGGAGGCTTGTTCTGCAGTGCTAGCGGGGATGAAGAAGAGAGGCTAAGGGATAAGCATGGCTAAGGTGGGATTATCAGAATCCACCTGTAAAAGTAGGGAGGAGGCATGGATGGCAGGGACCCAACAGACTTCAGGCAATACTCTGTCCTTTGCCCCATGAGGATAGCCTGTCTCCACAGGAGGAAGGCTGCGATTCTTCACCCACCCACTCTTCCTTGCAATGGAGACACCTAGAGAGTTTGGGGTAGTAAGAAAGGGTAAGGTTGAGAACCCAGCCATGTGTATTGGCCCAGACAGAGCCTTGGAAGGGAGAAAAGGAGAGGGTCACAGAAACTCGTTTCATAACCAAATTTCCAGCCACTTCTCCTCTACTGGGCCTCTGCTTCTGCATATGGAGGTGGGATTGGTGGTCACTGCTGCTTCTTAGAGAGGGTCACAAGGGAGTGTAAGGAGTGCCAGCAGCCAGGTGGGTGGGCATGAGAGCAGATCTCCCTGTGCTCCTCACCAGCGCTGGACCTCAGGCATTTTATTGATATTTAACAAGCACAAATTTAGAATTTACCATGTGCTAGGCACTTTATAATTGCTAGCCCATTTATGCCTAATTACAGTGCTAACCTCATCTCAATTTTACAGATGAGGCTACGGCAGCTCTGAGAAGTTAACTCACCCAATGTCTCAGAGCTACTAAGTGATAGAACTGGAATCCCTGTACTTTCCTGTAGGAATATTGTACCTAAATTTCATGTACACACATGTTGATCTATGTTGATCTATGTGTGCATGAAAGATGATCTTTCAAATCAATGGTTCAGTGAAAGAAAACAAGTTGTATGCATTGCATACTATTATTTATATTTTTTAAAAAGCAAACACCTATAAAACAAAAACTATGTATGTCTGTAGTAAACTTTTGTGAATGTAAATACCTAGGAGAATCTGGAAGGGCACACTGAATGGATAATTGTTTGTCTCTGGGAAAGAAACTAGGATAAAATGGCATGGTCAACAATTGGTTTTCTCTGTAATATTGTTATATTAAGAATGTGTTTATGGTCATGGTGTAATTAAAAATACATTTTTTAAAACTAATGGAAAAATAGGGTTGGCACAGTAAGGTTAGAAGCATAGAAGCAGACATGAAAGTTTTATATCTATGAATTTTATATTTTCTTTTTCTTTCTTTCTTTCTTTGGTTTTTTTTTTTTTTTTTTTAGATGGAGTTTCGCTCTTTTTGCCCACGCTGGAGTGCAGTGGCATGATCTCGGCTCACTGAAACCTCCACATCCCAGGTTCAAGTGATTCTCCTGCCTCAGCCTCCCGAGTAGCTGGGGCTATAGGTGCATGCCACCACGCCTGGCTAATTTTTGTATTTTTAGTAGAGATGGGGTTTCACCATGTTCGCCAGGCTGGTCACAAACTCCTGACTTCAAGCCTTCCAAAGTGCTGGGTTTACAGGCATGAGCCACCACACCAGGCCTATATTTTATATTGTCTAAACTTTTTAATTTTTATGTTTACTAAAATAAAGGGTGTATACTAAATAAACATGCTGTTGTTCCTTTGCAAGTTGTAAATTATAAACAATAGGCTTTGTAGATTGACAAAGATATGCTTCCTTTGATCACAGCATGGCTTTCATGGGTGAGGTGAGGTTGGCAATGATGGTGCTATAATTTTGAGAAGAAAGGCAGATTGTGAGTGATTGGGAGTAGAAATCTCTGGGCCTTCTTCCTCCTCCAACTCACTGATGGCCATGATCTCTAAAATGCCTCTGTTTTTCAGAGCTGAGTTTTGTGTGTCTCCTGAGTTAGTAAAGTCATTGGCTGTGTAAGGTACGCAAGGGTCTGGTCTTGCCCAACCCGTTTTCACATCTCTTTTGAAGAATGCATAAAGTGCAGGGTGCTTGGTTTTTTTCTGATGGTCTCTTTGTGCCTGTTTAAGGATGAGAGTGTGTCATTCAAACCTTGTCCAAAGATCAAACTCTCTTTGAGGAGGGGATTGATGGAATTCCACTGACTGCTTTATCAGTGTAGTTTGAAGCTTAGAGAGAGAAATTGCTTAAGTGCTTGTCAGTTTTGTTTTTGATCCCAAATCCTCTTCCTTTTTCTCCAACACACATTGCCCACTGTCACCAAACAACCTCTTCTAGTTCAATGAGTAACTTCTGGTCCTAATTAAGGAGTCAACTTGGAGTAATGATTAAGAACCTGAGTTCTAGAGTCAGACTCTGGATGTGAATTTTAGCCCTTCCAAGTGCAGCTTCTGTGACCTGTGAGCTTTCTCTCTAAGCCTCGGTGCCATTCTTGTAAAGTGGGAACAATAATAGTTTAAACCTTACAGGGCTGTTGTGAGGATGAACTGAGACAATCTAAGTAAAGCATCTCACATGGTGTTTAATACAAATTAAAAGCTCAACAAATACTTCCTATTATTATGACATCTGCATAGCATTTCATCACCTTGGTCTAAAGGTGGGGTTTGGAGATAGCATTGTCCCAGCAGGTGGGGTTTGGAGATAGCTTTATCATCTCGACTCAGAACAGGTCTCCTTGTGGAACCATGGCCTTCCTTTTGGATCCTGGCCATGAGAGCCCATTCTTAGGAACCATGTTTCAATTCCAGTAGGTGATGTCCACTCCAATGCAGCAGGATGTCCTCCCCAGGGTGCCAATGGGTCTGCCTGGGGTTCTAACAAGCTTTTTGGGACCAAACCCCTTCTCTGTGTGCTGCAGTTCTGCTTCAAATCAGTCCTTAGTCCCCTAGAAATCACAGCCTGACTCCTTGCTGGGCAAGGCCAGACCTAGTTGTCCCCTCCCCGTAGCCATAGCTATTTGGCCTGTGACAAGCCCCTTGTATCTCTTCACCTCTGCATTACTAGTCCAGGAGTCCACCCCTTAGGCAGCTCACAGTTATCTCTATCTATCATTCACATTTTCCCCTTTCCACCAAGGCTGTTCTTTCCCACCTTCTCCTTACTACCAGTTCTTTTTATGTTTTCTTAATAACAAAAGTGTTGTTGGTTCTTAAAACAACATTTATTTTTTTCTGACTAAAAAAAGGATAGCTATTCAGTATAGAGAAACAGGACAACATTGCACATGTATCCCGGAACTTAAAATTAAACTAAATTAAATTAAAAAGAGAGAAACAGGAAAACAAAATAAAAAATTTCAGTGCACAGAATAAAATGGAAATCATATGTAATCCTACTACCTGGATTTTTACAGTTTTTTTTCTATGCTTATATGTGAGTATGTACATTTACCCAACCAAATTAGAAATGTAATGTATACATGATTGTATACTTTTTTTTTTTGACAGGGTCTCGCTCTGTCACCCAGGCTGGAGTGCAGGCGTGCTATCTTGGCTCACTGCAACTTCTGCTTCCCGAGTTCAAGAGATCCTCATACCTCAGCCTCCTGAGTAGCCGGGACTACAGGCATGCGCCACCACACCCAGGTAATTTTTGTATTTTTAGTAGAGACAGGGTTTCATCATGTTGGCCAGGCTGGTCTTAAACTCCTGGCCTCATGTGATCTGCCTGCCTTGGCCTCCCAAAGTGCCAGGATTACGGGAGTGAGCCACTGCATCCGGCTTGATTTTACACTTTGTTATATTGAATGATTACTGAAAAACAGTCTGAAAAACAATGGGGTAAAATAGGTTCTGTAACATTGTAATGGCTGCATTCATAAACATTCATAAAATTACACTGATTGATTGATGTGGAAAATAAATATAAGAGACATGGTCTCTGTCTTCAAGGAGTATATCAGTGATTATATAGTCATAGCATCCTATTCTACAAATATAATATTTAGCTAGTTTTATATTATTTGAAATTTAGACTTCTAGTTTTTCTCTGTTATATATATAAAAAGTGAACATCTTAATACATATTCGTTCACTACGACGGAAATTCCCATGTTTTAAATTCCAGTCTTATACATGGAATTGTCATGTTGAATATTATGTCCTTTTAAAAGTAATTGACTTAAAAATCTTTGAATCAAACACTCGAAGTTGTTTGAGTGCCTTTTTCCTCATAGCCTCACCAACACAGATAATCACTTTTAAAATTATTGGTCATCTGATAGGCAAAAGTTATCTTGTTTTAACTTGAATTTTTGATTATAAAAATTGGTACATTAAAATGCTTTTGGGCTAATTAAAAATATTGGAAACAGAAAGTAGGTAGTAACATAACATTTCAAATAGCATACTGAGGTATAGATGGTAAGTTTGTTTTCTCCCACCCCAGGCTCCTACACCCCATCTCTGGAGCTGAACTCTCTAGTTAGCATGTGCTTAACATGACTGCATGAGGGCAAGGGCTTTGTTTTCCCAGCGTGTAGAATGATGGCTGGCACACAACAGGTACTCATTGGATGCTTATTAAATAAATAAGCACTTTCCTGAATAGAGTAATGAAAATTTTCTATGTAAACATAAACACCTACATGCATACTTTTTAATCCTTTTTATATTATTAACAAAAATGGGAACTCACCACACACACTATTCTTAAATGTCTCGATATTGTTCCATATAAACATATTTAGACTCCTTTCACTTTTTGAAAAATGCTGCATAGTACGGTAATTTAGTTAATATCCTTCCTATTGATGAAACATTTAGGGGCTTTATGTCTCTGGCTATTATTTATGGACGTTTCTTCTTCAGGAATTGTTTGCTCATGCTCTTTACTAATTTTGCTATAAACTTTTTCTATAAAGCTATTAGGAGCTTTCTGTACATTTAGAACAATAAAGCTTTGTTTATAATATATGCTGTAAATATTTTCCTAATTTCCCATGGTCTTTTAATTTCTTTTTTTATATCAATTTTTGGTAAACCTATTCATATTTTTATAAATATTTATTTTCTGCATTTGGTGGTATACTTATAAGGACCTTTTCTACCCCATATGAATATTCATTAATATTTTCCCATACACTTTCGTGTTTACATATGTTTAACTTATATGGAATTTAATTACCCATAAGGTATAAGGTAGAAATCTAACATTTTCTAGTAGTCTTTGTTATCCTAGATCCATTTATTGAATAGTATATTTTATCCCTGCTAATTAGAATATATTCAATCATAAATTAATTTCTTGAGTTTATTTCTGTACTTTATATTCTGTAAACCATGACTAGGTAAATAGAATAAATCACAGAATAATTTGTGAAAGCAAACACTTTAAATTATTTTGGGTTTATTTTTGAGATCTGATCTGATAGTATAAGTTTATGATCATGACATTGAATTTTTTTCCTCAAATAATCTCACATTCTTATCTCTTTCAGATATGACTTAGAATATGATTGAATATGAATACATGATTGAAGATATATTATAAAATTGAGATACTTGTTGCAGTAAGTTATAAATTAATTTGAGAGAGTTGGACCTTCTCTTTCAATTTGTTCTATTACTTTATGCCCTTCAACAAGCCTTTGTAGCTTTGTTTTGTTGGTTTTTTTTTTAATCTAGCTCTTAAATCTTCAGTATTAAATTTATTCTTGGGTATTCTCCTTTTGTTACTATCATTAATGGAATCTGTGTAAGTTTCCAGTAGGTTTTCTATAAGGTTACTTATGGCAATATAAAAAATATTGATTTTTATATATTTATTTTTAAAGTAGCAACCTTAGGTAATTCTCTTATTTGTTCTTATCCCTTCTAATAGATATTTCCTGTTAGAAAATATTATCTGCAAACACTGATAATGTTCTCATTTTAAACACTTGATTTCTTTTTCTTGCGTTAGTGCATTGCATTGCCTCAAATTTCAGAGCAATGTTAAATGATAGAGGTAGTAGCTGCCACCTTGATCTCCATCTGATTTTAGCAGGGCTACCCTCAATTTTCACTGCTAAGTTTCATATTGGCTATTGGTTTGAGGAAGATGTTCTTTACTATGTGAAGGGAATATTACTATAATTCTAGTTTCCAGTTTTTTTTCTTGAAGAGGATAATGAATTTTATCAGATGCCTTTTTGGCATCCATTAAGATGAGACAGTCTCTCTTGAGCTATTAATTACATTCTGAAAGTCAACTTTATTTAGTCATGGTTTACAGCTATGTTTAAAATGTAGGAACTTCTGATTATCCATTGAAAAGATTAGGCTATAATTTGTATTTTTTTGATGTTTTGTTATTCTAGATTTGATATATGAATTGAGAAATTTTTTTTTCTGTTGTTCGACAGTTAAATGAGCATTATTTTCTGTCTTCCTTTACAGCCACTCCAGGCATATCATGTGCACTGGCCCTGCTAGCTAATGCTCTTCCCCCCACTACCATCACCTTATGGTAAACTCCTACTTACTTCTTTTTTTTTTTTTTTTTTTTTTTTGAGACGGAGTCTCGCTCTGTCACCCAGGCTAGAGTGCAGTGGCGCGATCTCGGCTCACTGCATCACTGCAAGCTCCGCCTCCCGGGTTCAGGCCATTCTCCTGCCTCAGCCTCCCGAGTAGCTGGGACTACAGGCGCCTGCAACCACGCCTGGCTAATTTTTTGTATTTTTAGTAGAGACGGGGTTTCACTGTTAGCCCAGTTTAACCATCAACACTTCCATAGAGCACTCTCCCACCACTCCCATAGTATTAGCACATCCTTTATTCCAGCATTAATTCTACTACAGTTTACTTGTCTATTAACCTATTTTCCCCTCTAGAATCTGAGCTTCTTGAAGCAGGGACAGTCATGTATGCATCTTAAAAAAATCTTCAATCTCCAGTGCTCATCAGAAGACCTGGCACATAGCACATTGTTAATAACTCTTTGTTATATGAAAAAGTCCATAATGCATTTTTGCTTTAAACTTTGCCAGGGAAGAAAATTTGGATGCTGTTTGTGTATACTTCTTTGCCGTTCTTTGACAATAAAATAGAGATAATATCACTTACTGCCCTTCTTCACACCTGATAGAGTTACTGAGCTGGGATAATAGATGGGCAAGGTGAAAGTGAAAGAATTAAATACAAAAATCCATAATAGTGATTAGACTTTCTTTGATATTAACAACAGGTAACATGCATTGAGCGTTTACTATGTTCCAGGCATGAAATTATCAAATTTATTTCTTATAATAGCTGCAATTTTAGGTGAGTAAATGAAATTTTAGACAGTTTAAGTGACTTGTCTGAGGTGAAACAACTGGCAAGTCAAAGACTTTCTGAAATCAGGGTCCACTATGTGGAAACTATTCTATATCGACTCACCAGTGAAGATAGTGTGCTCCACTTAAATGAGAAAAGCAACGAACAATAAGCCCAGGGTGAAGATTTGGTTACATACCCTGCTTCTCAGGTTTTGCTTAAGTTTAGCGCCCACCAGGAAGAAAGAAAACGATTATCTGCCTCCTTGACTTTTGCATCATTTGTCTTTCTTCTGATGAAAGTGGGACTAATCACTGAGTTAGGGTTTCCTTATTTTTAGTCTACACCATGTTGCTTTATCCTAAAAGGATAAATATGGGCTGTGTGATGGTTGACCACCTTTCTTCTTCCTTCTATGAAGGTCTGAAAGGGCACAAGACAGGTAAAAAGGAAACAGCTTTTCTTTAGTAACTAAGTTGCTAGATTTTTGATCTCATGGCCCTGAGCTACACGTGAATGACTTTGACCTGTAATCTGAAATAAGATAGACTTCAGAGTTCACCTCTCCCACCATTTCACTCCAAAGGTGAGATAAGGTAGAGTTGCTAAAGGTACAGTATGAAGGGCATGTGGCATTTTAGTGTTGACAGTATGCCAGCTCTAAGACCTGCTTCTTCCATCTCCAACCATTCCTGCTTGCTCCCCACTCCAAGCTGTGATCCCCCCGAGTGAGTGATAGAAGTGGCAAGAGGTTGTTCGGAAGATTAAAGACCCAAGTCACCAGAGGCTGCCATCTCGCAAGAATATTTAGACATTTTTCCACTTGGCAGTCATTAATATTCTTCAGCAAAGAGTAAAAAGAAAGCCTGTTCAAAAAGCCTCCCTCTTCAGATCTCTGTACCTTGGAAGATAAAGTGAATGAAAGGGTTTTGTTATGAAATTAAATATTCATTGGATTGAGTTAGAGCTATTACTGTTCTTGAGAATAAAACTGGATTTTTCCTTTGTTTTAAATAACTACGGTCATTTTATGTAAGAATCCATTTCTGTACTGAATTGATCAGGGTAACGCATGGTGTGATTTTTCTAATATAATAGACACAACAGGGAAATGAATACAGAAGGGCTCAAAGTATTTTATAGAGGGTATACGAGCAATTTGACGTCGCAGAAAACCTGTCAGAAAGAAGCACCATGGAATAGAGGAAAGAGGCCCGGAATCCAGCCCCGGGAACTGTGACAGCCTCTGGGTGAGATCTTTGGCTCTGTTAATTGATAGCTGTTGTGGAACACATCTGAGTTTCCGTTTCCTAACCTGTGACATGGAGAGCATATTCTTTTCCTCTTGGGGTTCGTGTAAAGATTTGGAAACAGTAGCTAGAAAATGAGTGGCACGGACAAAGCAGGAGCACAACGGTGGCAGTGATTATTCCCGTTTTCACATACATACCCAGACCGGTCACGAAATGGCTGGAAAGCCATTCACATCTGTTTACTTTCTCTCTCTTTTTAATCTTCCAGGCACCATTGCTCACATTTCCCTTGAATTTAAACTTCTTTTAAAAGCTTTCAAAGCTTTGAAGGTTGATTTCAATGAAACCTGTTTTTATTCTAGGTGTTTTTCCGACTGTCATTCTGAGTAAAACAAAAAACATTTACTGTCAAAACAACAAGGGCTTACTCTCAAGCACAAAATGAAAGCAGATATGTCTGCCTCATTTATTTTGGCATCCACCTAGCAGTTAAATAGGACACCTTTTAATTTGTCACTTCTTTAAGATTCATTTAGGTTGGCAAAGTAAATCCCCAGTGCTTGGTTTCAGCTAAACTTCAACGAGTTGGGTAAAACAGTTTATTCTTTATCACTCAGACACACAAGCTTTGAAAGGTGCCGGTTAAAGATGGAACTATGTATTTAGCAGTGTAAGACAGTAACATCTAATGGATTTTAATTTTTACTTTGAATGGGAGGAACTTAGAAATTTAACTTATTACCAAAGATCCACTAGCAGTCTGAGAAGAGACACAGAAGGTCAATGTTTTTCAAAAAACCTAGGTAGAACTATTTCAAACAGTGAATATCCAATTATTTTAAAATTAGACTCAAGTATGAGTAAAGAGACCCAATATTCAAATCTCAACTCTGCCATTTGCTGGCTGGGGAAGTTACTTAATTTACCTGAATCTCAGTTTCTTTATCTATAAATTGGGATAATATCTACCCCTTCCAGGTTGTTTAGAAAATTAGCTGAGGCAATGGACATAGAGCAGCTAGCACCTGCCTGGCACATACTAGCTGTTCAACATGTGCAAGTCACTGTTTTTATTAAGAAAAACTTCTGGCTTGCTGCGGTGGCTCTTGCCTGTAATTCTAGCACT
This sequence comes from Homo sapiens, assembly GCF_000001405.40. Classification (NCBI taxonomy): domain Eukaryota; kingdom Metazoa; phylum Chordata; class Mammalia; order Primates; family Hominidae; genus Homo; species Homo sapiens. The sequence continues at coordinate 56,993,595 of NC_000001.11, forward strand.
TTGGAAGGCTGAGGCCTGTGGATCGCTTGATCTCCGGAATCTGAGACCAGCTTGAGCAGCACAGTGAAACCCTATCTCCACAAAAAAATACAAAAATTAGCCAGGCATGGTGGTGCGTGTCTGTAGTCCCAGCTATTTGGAGGGCTGAGGCGAGAGGATTGTTTGGGCCTAGGAGGCAGAGGTTGCAATGAACAAAGATCACACCACTGCACTCCAGCCTGGGCAACAGAGTGAAACCCTGTTTCAACCAAAACAAAACAAAAATGAAAACAAAAACTTCTGCAACATTTTCTAACAATTCAGTCCAGGATTTAGCATTTCTAACTGTATGGAAATTGTTTCTTCTATCTGCTCCAAATGTACTTTGCTAGAATCTAAGCCCATTTTCTCATTTTCTCAAAGTTAGCAATAACATCTGTTTAATACCTTCTTTGTAACAAGGCCAGATTGAGGGCTTGTGTTTATGCAGTCATTAACAAAACCATTCTTAAACAGTGGTGGTTTTTCGCATCTCAATGACCTAATTGTAATCTGGCTAATTATTTGATTTAGTTACAAAAGGAAATAAAAATCACACACACACACACACACACGCATACATAAATATGTACACAACACCTACATATATTCATTTTTTTCTGTTCTTCAATACATACAATCCAGCTTCAGGCCTTTTTATTTTGGTGTGGATTTTGAGGGGAATGTAAAGAAAGATAAATGCTTCCTTCTTGAGTCCCTTAAAGCAGATGACCTTAAAATGAACGATGGGGAACTCTTTGACAGTCTAGATTAATCTCGGTTTTCCAATCAATAGTTTAATAGGTTTTTTTTGTTTTGTTTTAGGGGAAGACACAATCCACAGGGCTAGTCCCAGAGTCTTTCCCAGTTTTGAACGTCTCATGCTAAATGTGGTCCAAATACCACATCTACCCAGGGTTTGCTTTTTTTCTGACAACATCCTCCTTCCTGTCTGGGGCTGCTTTTCCAAGCATAGCAAGCACTTGAATTCAACTGAGGGCTGACAAATTGACCTTACTCCCCAATAAAGCTTGCTCTTTTTAGCTCAGGGCCAGGGAAACACAGGCTGTCACTTGGTCAGATGGAATCTTAGGTAAAGCAATTTCCTCTTCCGATCCAAGCCTGAATATCCAGTGGAAACTTGTAGAATAAAGCCAGGCTAAAGTGTTGTTCTCAAACATGTTTATTTGTAACAGTTTTACATGGTGTGTTACAGAAATTAATGGAAAATTTCTAAAAATTTTGCTGTTCTGTTGAATGCATTGTACATAAAGTTAAAAATAATGTGTCCATATATGTTAACAAACTGTCATCTGAGGTAAAGTTAAAGTAGGTCTAGAAAGGTACTGCAACAGTCATTTTCTCTTTCTCATCTTTATTAAAAAAATATGTGTCAGAACGCAGAAATTGAAATGAACCAAACCCACAGAGTAAACATTTGTTTAAAAGAAGGTGCCCAGTACATTACATGATGGGGTTTCAGGAGACACTGGGATGAGTACGAGCTATCAAAAAAGTCTTGCGGCATGTAAAGATTGAAGAGCTATGGAGAATGGGGACAGAATGACAGGTGGTGTTTCCCTGGTTTCAAAATTTAAAGTGACAAATTTAGTGCTAGTGGAGGATGAGGAATTAACAGTTGTACACATGGATTTTCTATTGATCTAACCAGAACCGTGCAGACTCCCCATGGTCTTTTGGTATTGGCACCTCAGCTCTTGCTTGGAAATTTCACTGTACTCCTGGGACAGGATACGGTGCTTCCAGGCTCACCAAACAGTGCTTGGAAAAAAATCAGAATTCTGCCAATGAGAATATGGATGGCAGTTGAAAAACTTGACTTTATTTCCCTTACTTTAATGCATCACTTGGGCATCTATCTTCTTGAAGTTCAGAGCCAGTTACATTTTCAATCATGTTCAATGAAAGAGGACAATTCTCCTGGACTTTCACCTTCTGCTAGGAAATTAACTCCAGATGGTATACCTGAAACAGCAACATCAGCCAGAGTTCACTTTGAATGTGTCAGAAGCAACCCAAAGAATTGGTATAATGGTGTGATACTGCAAGACAAACTCAAGACAGCCATATTGAGGGAGAAGATAGCACCACTTGTTTAGAATCAAATCATAGGCAACAAAGCAATTTAAGCAATTTCCCATGGGAACTGCCTATCTTACCAAATCCCCAGAAAACAAACTGGTCTCAGGCCAACTCTTATGGTCATTCCACCTTTCCCATCTTCCCGTTCATGTGAAAGGGTTACCTAATCATAAAATGTTTGCTCATTTCTCAAGAAACTCTGTGGACCAACAGGTGATAGCTACAGAGGGAGGTAAACGGCCCTTCTCACTTTTCTGGTTCTTCGGACCTTCCACATTAGGATGATATTGACATATATTCTTGAATAGACGTTTGGTCAGTTTATCTAACTGAAAAAAAAATTAGACTCCTGTGACCTGATAGTGTAAAATGTGGGCTTTAAATGATAACCATTACCTTCATGTATCACTTTTCGCTTTGTGAACAAGTATACAATCATTTTTCAAATGAATCTCCCAAATCATTTTAGTTTCTATTGATATGAAGAATCAAATGCAGGCCTATTCAAATCAATTGTCTCAATGGAAATTCTACTTTTCAAATCTAAAAACCAAATAATAATAATTATCCTCAAATCCAATTAATCACATGAATCTTTAAAGTTTTCTTCTTAGTGTTAAAACACTTTCAACATACTGTAACTGCATAGGAACATCAGGAAAACACACTTGACCTGTATAACAATTCTCTGTAGGGCAAAAATATATAGATTCTTTATGAAAATCATGTGCTAAACATACGAACCAAACACTGCACTTTTTGTCTCATAAGTGTAAAAAAAGGAAGCTTAGCCTCTTCTGTTTCACGTACAAACAGTCCAGTGATTTATATCGGGGGTAGGTGGGAGTGGGGAGGTGGGAGAGTTTCAGAATCTGAATTCTTCAGAATGTGAATTGTCTTTTTCTTGTGTTGCACGTAGGGTGGGGACTCTCGTGGAAAGGCTAGATGATGGAGTCACGTGCTCCCTTCCCGTTCACTAGCTGCTGATTGGCCAACTGCTCCTGCCAGCTGTCCCTGCACTCCAGCTTCCTACCATATGCTCCAGAATAACGTCTGGAAAGTGAGCCCCATCCATCAAGTTTGTCACACCTTGCACTCAATCTGCTACCTTCTCTACAGTGTAATGGCATTATTAAAAATCATTTTCATTAACATTTATATTTACAAAAAAAAGACAATTTTTTTTCATTAGAACTCCTTAAAGCCATTTCCCTTAAATATTTAAAGAGTTTAATGGTAAGGTTTTTTTTTCAAGTTATAAAATAAAAATCCCATTTGAATTTTCTGATGTACAAAAAGAGATAGAGATGAACCATTTGGACCACAGAATCAGTTTGTTATTCTGAATATTTATGCCACCATTGTTCCATTAGAAAGTTGGTTTTTAAGATCCAAAACCACATTACCAGAATTGTACCAGAATTATTTGGCAAATGACTTTTCTTTGAAAATGGCACGTGGAGAAGACACTTGTCTGCATAGCAACACAGCAGCAAGATATCGGAAAAATAAAAAATATCATTTTATTGTACTTAGAGTTTAGAGCTTCTTAAGAAATCAGATGCATTTTTCATCTTTCTCATCAATGGGATCTGATGTCTTTTCCTACTCACAGAATGAAGGTTCGTACTGAAAGCTGTCTTTCTTCACCAGGATGCAGAATAGCTAAAGGACTGTTTTGGCAACATTCGTGATCATAATGAATAATCAACCACTTATTTGTCTTGTAATTTCAAGTTAATTCATTTCACTGAGGCTTTTTTTCTCCCCAGTTAGATTTCTTCACCCATATCTAAAAAAAGTCAAAAGCAATACAAAAATTTGTACACCTATTAATTTTCAAACATGACAAAAAAAGGAAAGGGGGGAAAATGGCAGACCAGGCCCCATGGAGTGACAAAAAACACATCATCCTATGTGAAAAGGCATATGGATGACGATATTGTGGTCACAGAAGACCCTTTGCTTTTGCTTAAAGAAGTCAGTTCCAACCCTGTTGTAATCCTCTGATGCCTGTCACTCCAAATTTGGTGTCTCAACAGTGGTCAACAGGTAGAGAAATAAAAAGGGAATTAATAATTTTGCACACTGAGTCATCTTAAACCCAGCTATGAGGGCTCAAATATTTGTTGGGTAAGCATTTGCTTGATTTCTGATTTAATGTTGGGTGGATCTTTCTATACTTTTTTTGTGTGCTGCCATAGATATCTGCCATTGGTTGCCAAAAATGCTTAGTTCCCTCTTCTGAGCGAGTTCCATTGGGCAATCATGAATTTCTTGTGGGAAGAGGTGAAAGAATACAAGAGAGCCTGTCGTGATGCTGATGTCCATGCCAGTCTTGAGCACCCACCACGAGCTCGCATCGATGCTATTTCTTAGGTCTGTTGATCTGCGCGTACAGAGGCTCTGGCTCCTGTGGATAAAGGAACAAAGTGAGGCCTGCTCTTTACACTTGCATGGATTTTCTGAGACAGCTTTGGGAAAAGGGGTTTAGGATTAAAACAGAAAAGTGACAGTTTATGATGGATGACCTTAGGTTATTTTTGGAGTATTTGATCAGGGTGCATAACATTTTGGCAACATTTTTATTATCCAAAATAGCTATGCACTCAGTTCTGTCTTTCGTTTTCAAGTTGGAACTGATTGCCCTGTTAGGGAAGTAGCATGGTATAGTAGGGAGAGTTAGAAAAGCTGTGTCATGTGGACAAGATACTTATCCTGAGTCTTGGTTTCTCCAACCACAAAATGGGAATAGTACTGTTTATCCTACGGGGTTCTTGAGGGAATTAGAGATTACACATATAAAGTATCTAGCACAATGCTTGCTAGCAATACATCTTCAGAAATTGCTAACAATTACCATGAGACAAGTGGACATTTTTCCAACACAGTTTCATAAATGTCCACTTGAGAACCCTGAAATTCTATTTCAAATTGCTCTTCTACAAATAGTGATGCCTGGGTGCACTGTTGAGCCAGAGAAACAGCAAGTGTGTCTTTGTCTCTTAATCACAAACTTCTGGACTTGTTTCCATTCAGTCTGAGCCCTCCACTTTGGCCAGTCATTTGCCTGCACCCAGGGGGCTGTCCTGAAACACATACAGGGATTTTCAACCAGCATGTAATGCAGCAAACCTGCAATCCACACCTAGATAGGAAACAGCGTTCGGCCCTATTTAAACCCCGTCAGACTTCAGCTGATGTTGAGATGGCTCATTGTGCCTTGGCCAAGCAGATTTGATGGATACTGTGGTTTTAAGCATGCACAGGACCTTCTGTTAAAATTGACCTTTATGCTGTCACTCTTGGAGGTCTGTGCCAGAATTAAACGGGCACAATGAAATCCTAATTTTACCATATTTGATATATTAGCTTGTCCCCTGCCTTGTCATATAGGTTCTTATTATTTGCTTTTTTCTTGAAACTTCAAAATGAATTGGCATTCTGGGAGCCCCTACCATGTGTCTGGCACCATGCTAGGTATTTTCAAGTACATTGTCTTTTTATCTCATCACAACAGCCTTGTAAGGCAGATGCTTTATCTCTTTTGCAAGGGTGAAATTAAGCACAGAGAAGTTAGATAATTTGCCCATGGTCACACAGCTAGTAAGTCTAGAGACATGAGAACTGAAAACAGGGTCCAGGGGCCAGTGCTTTTTCTAATCTTTTACAACAGTGACCATGAGGAGGGAGAGACAGAGAGAGAGAGACCCCAATCTTTCCATCCATTGGTGCTTCAGAGTTTACAAAGCACCTCATGTCTTATTTATCTGCCTTATAGTCCTGAGGGTGGCTTTTATTTTTTGAGTCCTCCCTTTGCAGATAAAAACTGAAGTTCTGAAAGGTTGTGTGATCTCAAGGTCATTGTGCTGTCTCTTGTGTGTAGCATATCATATTGCTTGCTTTCTACTGTAAAGTGGAATGGCCTAGAAGATAAGGTTGTACTGGCCCATCATTGTACAGATGAGGAATCTGAAGTCCTGTGAAGACAGCTTTTGTTTCTTCAGAGTCACAGGGTTACTTAGTATCCATGCCAAGAGTAGACCCCAAGACTCCTGCCATCAGATCCAATTTCTGGTTCCTCTAGAACTTGTTATGTTTGTATTCTTCCAGTGGGAAGGAACTTCTTTCCTTGGAGGCACCCTATTATGCAGTGTAACAAAGTGCCAACTTGTCCCTCCATGCCTTCTGCCCGTAGACTTTCTACTGCCCTTGGAAATGTAAATAAGTACAATCCTTCGTCCAAATGTCTGATGACAGAAAAGTACGGAAGCCCATTCTTCCATGTCCTACTTCTAGGTTACCACTTGCCAGTTCCTTCTGCCTTTTTTTTTTTTTTTTTTTTTGAGATGGAGTCTCACTCTGTCGCCCAGGCTAGAGTGCAGTGGCGCGATGTCGGCTCACTGCAAGCTTGGCCTCCCAGGTTCACACCATTCTCCTGCCTCAGCCTCCCGTGTAGCTGGGACTACAGGTGCCCACCACCACGCCCGGCTAATTTTTTATATTTTTTAGTACAGACAGGGTTTCACTGTGTCAGCCAGGATGGTCTCAATTTCCTGACCTTGTGATCCGCCCACCTCGGCCTCCCAAAGTGCTGAGATTACAGGTGTGAGCCACCGCGCCAGGCCTCCTTCTGCCATTTTACAAATATGAACCTAGCACAGTAGGTCCTCAATGAGAGTCTGTTGAATTACTGAATGATTATAATGCTGTTTCTAGTTTCCTCACAGTTCTGATCCCTTTGTCCTAAATACACTCCAATTTGGCTTTATTCTCTCAAAATCAAATGTAGCAAAATCTATAGTAAGATTATGATTTATTAAACACCAAATCTATTCCTTTCCAGTCTCTTGAACTATTTCAAATACATGTTGTAAGGCTAAACATGTAACTTTATTGTGTGTTTGTGTTCTACAAGTGCAGTAGGTGGAGTCAAAAATAGTTAAGTACAACTACTGGGGAAAAATATTTCCTTTTGCCTGTGCTGGGCTTCAAGCACGCATATTAATGTTTCCTGGATAGATGTTCTCAGCTCATTCTTCTTTTTGGATGCCCCAAGAAGTCAGGCTGCCTTGATCTCACCCTACAATTTGCTCTATTCTAATTTTGGAAACTAATTTATCCAACTGAAAATGACACCTAAAAACAGAAGAAGACAGCAGGCTCAGACAGGGTAATTAATGCCACACTGCATTAAGTTTCTGCAGCTGAGATAAATATTCACACATCTCCTACTTGCCCGAATTTAGCTTCAAATACCCATCACAACAGCAGTAACGACTGCAGTCAACTCTCAATTATCCCCACTAATGAAGGGGAGCAGTGGTGTGGAAAACCCCCAGCAGCAGATAATCCCAAAGTCTGACACTGTGATGCATTATACGTTTTGGCAATAGCTGTACCTTCCTTATTATGGAATCTTAGACTGTCAGACTTAGAGGGGAGCTAAAGAATCATTGGATTCAGAAATTTCCAACCTGGCCTCTGTCAAGGTCATAACGGGGTCTTTGAGCTATTTTCAAAATTCCAAAAGCCTAAATGGAATCGCACATTAACATAACATGCTGTTGATGTTTTTGTTTGTTTGTTTGTTTTCTTTTGGCAGATTTGTCCACGTCTCTGCCCTGCTTCAAATCCTTCAGAGGCTCCCCATCACCCACAGGGTAGGTCAAAGCACCTTCGCCGGGCACACAAGGCCCATTAGTCTCTTAGTCCATTAGAGCTAATAAATACCCCTTCTAGAGCATGAATCAAAACTCTACCTTCAGGTCACGTAAATGATGTTAAAAAAATCTTTCTTTATGTCTTTCCAGGATGATCTTTCTGAAATGGATTTGGCCATGCCAGTCTCCTGCCTGAAACAGCCCTCCTGGCTCCTTGTCACTCAAAGGAAAAGGCAAACTCCTCAAGACTGCACATAATGCCCACCTTCCCAACCAGCCTCTCCTACTGCCACTCTCTCTCCTACACCCTACCTTCCAAACCCTACTTGGGGTTCACCCTCACATGCTGGAGTTTTCCCATCTCTGAGACTTCATTCAGGCAGTTCCTTCTGGCTTCGGAGGCTTCTTTGTTCCTAAAGTTCATACTTTAAGACCTAGCTGAAATATCAAGGCTTCCTGGACTCTGCAGGTGACACGAGCCACTGTGCTCCTGGATGCTTCAGAACCTGTGCAGATCTCTGTCTTCACTCCTACTATGGCATCTCCTAGCATGTTCTACACTGAGCTCCACTGGGCCTTGCATGTCAGTATCCCGAATTCTGAATGAAGCTTGGAACATGGGAGGTGCATCCACTAACAACATGAAGAATGAAGACATGTGTGAGTAAATGAACAGTTCTCTTCTTAGTGGAAGTTGGCAAATAGTTGTGAACTTTAATATGATTCTGACATATTAATATCTTTATTTTTAGATAACAGAGTAGATGGAAACCATATGGTAAAACCTAAAGCAAAATCCACCCTCTAACCTTTCTGTAAGTGAAACACCCAATTTTCTCGAAGGTGCAGTAAAAGAGCTAAAGCACAGGAGACTAAGTCATGCAGGCCTAGCTTAGTGTTCTCCTGCCAATGATCTGCTGCAAAGACCACCAGGGACACATCTGTAGTTGAACATGTTGGGTTATTCCTCAGCGCAGAGGGAGGAGCAATGAGGCATCTCTGAAAGAGGGTGTTAGAAAGAATGTATCACAAGATTTGGGCTTAAGGTAAGTAATTTTGGGGATGGTCAACAAAGTGGGGTTTTTCTCTGAATTGGATGCTGTCATAATGTGGGGGTAATTCTGTGATTATCCCAACAATACTTATCTGGAAGGCAAGAAGAACAGAGCAAGGCTGAAACCAGGCTAGAGAAATGTTTGATCAGTTTTCCAATTTTGACAATGTTCATGTTTTGCCTGTGTTCAGCCATGATGACCTGGTGGTCTTGATTTTGTCTTGACCTATCATGGTCACTAAGTGGCCTTGCCTTATGCTGATGGTATGTGAAATGTTGATGTTCAACAGGAGAATGCCAGCACCTTGCTGTGGGGGTGGGCCTGCCCCTGACTGTCAGAGGCTGCTGTTCTTTTTCTTACCATCACACATTTAGCAGCCCTAGGATTCTGTGCAGGGTACTTAACGTCTTTGGGTGCCAGTTTCCTCATCTGTAAAATGAGGCTAGAAATACCCTCTGTGAAGGAGAAAACATGTTGATTGTCTAGCACAGAGTCTGAAACATAGGAGATACTCCAAAAAACATTAGGTCCCTTATGTCTGGGAGTGTGGCTTTATCCTCCCTTTATAGACAATGGTTTTAGGCCTAATAATCACCTGTGGGTTTCTTTTCAAATGGCCTCTCCTTCATAGCACATAGGTGCAATTGCAGATGAGCTCTCAGTTATTAATAAAAGAATGGTGCTGGACCAGCCTAGGAAAATTGTGCAGAATGAATGTGGAGTTAATGCAAACAACCTGGCTGCAGGGCCCTGTGGATAACAGAAACTTCCACCGTTTGCAGACTACTCCACATGTCCTTTAACTATCTATGAATTATGTGCTCGACTACAGCAGCCAAGTGGACTCACAGAACTGGAGTAATAATGGTATATCTCTACAGAAACTTTTACAGTTTATATACGGTCTTTCCAATGTCACATAGTCTTACTTGAGCTACACACCAGGACTGTGCCTTTAGAGCTCCTGTCTTCATTTTACAGCAAAGAAACCTGGGCTCCCTGCAGTTGGGTGACCTGTGCAGTTACTCAGCCAGCACACAGCAGAGCTGGGACATACTGCTTTTTTTTTTTAATCTTTTTTAGATTTTTATTTGTGGTGAAACATAAACAACATAACCTTTGCCATTTTAACCACGTTTAAGTGTACAATTCAGCAGCATTAATTACATTCACAATGTTGTGCAACCATCAGCATCATTTCCAGAACTCTTTCATCACCCCAAACAGAAACTCTGTACCCATTAAGCAATTAACTCCCCATTCATTCCCCAAATCCCCAGCCCTAGTCTAATCTACTTTCCATCTCCACGATTTTACCTAGTCTTGTTTTTAAATCAATTTCAGTGAGGTATAATTTACATACAATGAAATGTACCCATTTTAAATGTACAGTTTAATGAACTTGACAAATATATACACCCATGTCAGCTATAGAGCATTTCTTCACCCTAAAGACTTCTCTTGTGCCTTCTCAGTCAACTCCCTATCTCAGTGCCAGCTCTGATCTGCTTTTGATTGCTATAGACTAGGTTTGTTTTTTCTAGAGTTTCATGTAAACATACTCAGGTCTTTTTAAGCCTACTATCCTCTCCACTACCACGTGTTCCCTCTCATAGAAGGTTGAAGCTGGAAGGGCCCTCACACCTACAGCTCCTTTTCCGCATGAAGAAACTGAAGCCCCAGACACAAGGGGTACTTTCCCAAAGCTATACAGGAGACAGTGGAGAGCCAGGGAGCAGCTCAGGGTTCAGACTCCCATTTCTGTGCTGGTTTCCTTGCTTTCTTCTCCCAGCCCCAGCTCTTTGGCATGAAGTATAAGGGCAAATGGTTTCCTATGTCACATTATAACAAGACGCTCTTGGAAGCTACCTAAATTGTGCTGATTACTTTCTGCCCATTTAATATTTCTTGTATTTGTTTTTGGAAAGATTGACTACCTTTGACAAAAGTATGTCAAAAGCAATACATCTTACTAGTGGAGCGAAGACACTGCATGCTGACAAAGGTGATCTCAGATGTGAGGTCGATGGTGCGCCATGCAATCAGCTTGCTGAGTGAGCCTACTTATGCCCCATCCCGGGGGCCTAGGGTAAGAAAAGTGCCAAGCGAAGCTGAGGATCAGACTAAAGCTGGAAGGTGAGTCAAAGCTTGAGTCCCTCAGCATTACCCTGCCCAGGCAGCAACTTCAGCCTCATGGTCTTTTAGCCCTAAAACTTAGGACTAGCTCAGTGGGAGTTTTACATTCCTTGGCTTGACAAATGAAAAAGGTATTGGTAGTCAGAGGGGAAAAAGGCTAAAATAACTCAAAGTTCTATCTGAATCCATGTGGAGGGTCAGGAAAAATGCATGGGTTTGGGGAGCCAGAAAGACCCCAGAAATCCTCCTAACTTCCGATATGAACTTAGGCGAGCATCTCACCTATCTGCACCCCAGTTCCTTCATTTGTAAAGTGGAGGGAATAACATCTACCTCATGGGACTGTGACAAGTTACAAGTGAGCTCGTATAACATGAAGTATCTTAAATGCTGGCAGCCTTCTTTTTCTTTATATTCAAACAAAAGGAAAAACAAAGCTTTCTGGCCACTTTGAGTCTGAAAGTCTGGCTGTTAGGGTAGAAAAGTCTTCTAAACACTGAATGGATTTGATGATAATCCCTTAGGGATTGACACTGCCGAATGCCCTTGTTCCTGGGGTCTTGGGTGCTGAAATCCGCTTGGTGCATACAGAGATGCACCACCTGAGTTTCGAGGCAACTGTGCATGTTCTGAAGAACATTCTATTTCCCCGTCAATAATAACAACAATGATGGGCATCAATGATCTGTTTTGCACATGTACATCATCTTTTTTGGCCTTGTTATATAACAGATGATGACGCTGAAATTGCTGACACTAATTATCTACCATAAGCAGGAAGGCCTTTTCTGAGTAAGCTCCTGGTTACTGGGAGCAGGTTGCATCTAGGACTGATAGTCTCTGGGGATCCTAATGAAGTCAGCGTATTTTAGGGATTTCTGTCTTCTCCTTTGTTAGATGGGAATAGAGACAGCCTGAGGGAGAGATGCTGCTGGAAGATCTTATTTGGGGATTGGTTCCATGCTGTAGCTGGGTGACTTTGGGCAAGTTAGATGGTCTTAAAATGTCAGAGCTGGAAGGACCTGTGGGAACTGTTTTACAGAAAAGGAAACCAAAGGTCAGAAATGAAACCATCTGCCTCATATCACACAGCTAAATTGATGTGATGCTATTAAAACCCAGGTGTCCTTCCTGATTCTGTTTGAGTGTGTTTGAATTACTTAATCTGGGTCTAGATTCAAATCCTGGTGCTATTACATGTGAATCTCAGGATTTTAGCAAGTTGTTAAACTCTCTACCTTGTCTGCAATATTTGTGAAATGGGAATAATAAAAATACCTGAGTGTTCCTGTGAGGATTAAATTAGGTGATGCTAGTAATTTTAAAATATATCTTATTATTATTAGTAAGTGAAAGGTATCATGATTACCTTCTGCAGTGGTTCTAGAAACAGTGAGCCTGATCTAATTCTGTTAGCCAATTCTGGTAGCTGCCTGTGTTTGTAAATAAAGTCTTATTAGAACACAGCTACATTCATTCATTTATGTATCATCTTTTGCTGCTTTCCTGTGACAATGGTAGAGTAGCTGTAATAGAGACAGTATGGCCCACAAGGCACACATATTTACAGAGAGTTTGGCAACTTCTGGTTAGATGATCTGTGTATTCTACTTGCACTCACTACTCCAATGGCTGAAACCCATATGGAAATCTCCATGTCTAGCCTTGATTTCTCTTTTGATCTCCAGAGGTTGTATCCAGCAGCCTACTGGCATCTCTACTTGGAAGTCTCATGGGCACCTTGAGTTCAGTTGGTCCCAAAGTAAACTTGTCTTCTTTCTGCTCAAACATGCTGCTTGTGTTCCTTAGCACAGTGACTGGCACCATGTAGATCCCCATGCCAGGAACCTGGGTGTCATCCTACCTTATGTCCTCTTCCTCACCTCCCATGTCTCTTCGGTCTTAACCTTCTGTTGATTTCAGCTTTTAAACATCTCTTGGCACTATGCCTGAGGTCTTGGCTGACACTGCCCTTAGCTAGACCCTGGTCATCTTCTGCCTGATCCAGTGCCATCACTTTCTAGCTACAGGACCTCGACAGGGAGTCTGTTCATAAAGGTCCAAGGAAGTGGGACACTGTGCCCTCCAAAAACTTAGGTTGGACTTGTCATTGAGTTCTGTGTCCATAAAATAGGTCATTTTCTGTTGTTTTGTGGTTCTTTATTTTAAGGGTCTGTTGTTTGGTTGTATTTAAAAAGAGAATGGTAATAATAATCCCAAATACATGTACTTTACTTTCAAAGCTTATAAAACACTTTCATACTTATGATATTATTTGATTCTTGGACAGCTTGGGGAGAGAGCTATTGCAATTATCTGTATTTATCCATATGAAAGGATGTATGCTTACCTAAGGTGACCTGCTTTGGAAGTAGAAATCAGACCTAAGGCCCCTGACTCTGTGTTTTGTTTCTTCCTTTCTTTCCTTTTCTTCCCTTCCCTCCCTACCTCCTTTTTTTTCTCTCTCTCTCTTCCTCTCTCACTCTCTTAAGATTCGTCTTCCCAAAGCATCTGAGGTTTCAGCTTTCTTTTCCCTTGAACACTAGAAATCCATCAGGTAATATGTTATATGTCTTGCATTCCCACCACGAAGATCAGTATTAAAAAATGACAGCAACTTATTATTTATGGCAATATCTATTGTTACTAAGGGAGGCAGACCAAACAATTCCCCATTGTTACAGATGCTACTCTGACTTGACAGCTGGGAAAGTCTGATAGGCAGTTTATTTACTTAGCCATTTAACCAAATAAATGTTTTCATTTTTCTTTCATCTCCTCAAAAGCTAACATTTCGTCCTCAAAATTGCTCCAGCAACACATCAGTGAAGTATAAATTACCTGCCATTCCCATACCAGTCATTATAATATTATTTTGGTTCTTTTTTGCCCTTGTTGACCCAGTCTTTCAAAGACACGTGATTCTCCCAGATGGGAGGGTAGGGGGAAAAAAGTGAAGTAATTGAAGATACTTTCCTTTATTGCTAAAACAGCACTGCTGTTTGAGATTGGCCCTGAAGCTTCCACCTGTGGGGATTGAGTCCGTCTGTTTCCTCTTACTATGGTGTGATATGGCTTTAGCTTATCAACAGATGTCATCCCTACTTACTCAGAACTGTGCAGGTATTTCTAATAAAAAACAGCTGGTGATAATGGTTGCAAGGGTGATAAGAGAGACAGGACTCTTGCTTTCCAACCATATGAAAGCAGAGGGGAAAAAATAAAGCCATGGACATAACTTTCCCTGCATGGTCTCTCTTCTCCAAATGTTTGGAAAGGCACTAAGAAATTGCAGTCAGTAAATTTTCAGTTGGGTGGATGGGGGAATGGGATGGAGATGGAAAGATTAAATGTGTCTTGTGCTGCTGTCGATGGAGGGACCCAGAATGGCTCTCCCAGACGTCCCCCATGTGTGTCATAGTGGCTATGTCTGCAAAGCTGGCATCTGCCCCTTGGCACTTGAATCTTGATAACTGTGAAGTGGCCAGGCTAAGCTTTCAAAGGGAGAAAATTACTTCACCGAAGATTACAGTCCAGCCCTCCTCTGGAGCTGGGAGGTACTTATTTTGACTTGCATGTGATTCTAAGACAGCCCATTTTTTGGCAGTGAGCTGTGTGAGGCCCAAACCAGGGCCATTCTGATTATGGGGTGGGGCAAGCCAGAGAGCTAAGCAGCAGGCTTTTTTCTTTTTTTCCCTTCCAAAGCTGTTGTGACACATATTGAAAATTAATTATCTGAAGACAAAGTACAAAGCAAAACCTCCCAACCAATGGTCTTATACATGAAAGCTAAATGTATAAAATCCAAGAGAGTGGGGAGCGTGCATTAATTGGATATATGTGATGATGATAATGATGATGATAATGATGATGGTGATGGTGATGATGAGGGTAGCTAGCATCTATTAGGTGCTTTCTATGTGCTATACACAGTGCTAAGAGCTTCACATATATCACTTTATTTAGTTCACATAATAACCCTATGAGGTGGACACTATTTTTATCCTTATTTTTCAAATGAAGAAAATAAGATAGAGAATAATTATAAAATCACAGCAGTGTCACATAGCCAGGAAGTGGTGGAGCCAGATGCTGAACTCAAACAATGTTGTTCCAGAACCTAGATATTTTTTTTAAGCTGAATTTTAAGCTGATTACTCAGTGTCTGTCTCTGCGCTAGATACTCAACATAAACTATCTCAGTTACCATTATGGAGAATATAAGCCCCTTCTAGCAGATGAAGAAACCAAGACTCAAATTTTGGTTCTTGCCCAAGATTTCCCACTATTAAGTAGCTGAGTTAGGATTTAAACTCAAGTCCAAATCCTGAGTTCTTCCCACACTACTATGCTATGTCCATTTACAGCTCAGCTGTGGCTTGGGGTACTGGACAGAGCATTAAATGTGGAACAGACCAAAGCCCCATGAAACAGTTTGGCTTGTAGGATTGTCTCAAGCTGAACAGGTTCATAAAGATGAGGGTTTAATACATTGATCTGCAAATGGTGTAAGTCATCTTTGTTTTCTAGAAGAACTTCAATTTTAGGATGATGTTTGCTGTTATCCTGATGAATGGCTCTTGTCACCTCTAGTTTATTCACCAAATTTTTCAAGGCAAGGTTGAGCACGTGAAATACAACTTAGGCGGGGGGTAAAATACCTCGTGGGGAATCATCCCAAGGAGTCTGCCTATAGTCCCCAACTTTTCTTTTTCCTGAAACATTGACTTTGCTTTCAATATATCAACTCCCGAAGTAGCTTTGCAAGAGTGAACTTCTAAGTGAATCGTAGGTGGTTTTGCATGGCATGACATATTATTATGTGCTATTGCACTGATACAAAATGTGGCAACCTACACAGTGTGTTAGGTTCTTTAATAAAAATACCTGTTAACAAAATACACTTTCAAAATACCATATTAGCTTTCAGTAACTGTCTAACTTACGTGTGGGCTAAGACTAATTCTGAGGTAGCCTCAGAATCCATTTATGAGGTAGCCTCCGAATCCATTTATGAGTGGAGAAAACTGTTTACCATTTTAATGGTTTTGACCATGCTGTTCAGAAC
The DNA here is from genome assembly GCF_000001405.40 of Homo sapiens. Taxonomy (NCBI): domain Eukaryota; kingdom Metazoa; phylum Chordata; class Mammalia; order Primates; family Hominidae; genus Homo; species Homo sapiens. Next base: position 57,009,638 of record NC_000001.11, read on the forward strand.
TTAAAAAAGGAGCCTTTTGGGAATGGCCTTGCAGTCCTGTGTGTTTATAGAAAACTAAGAAGGTATCTGAAAATTGAACACGTTTGTCAAGAAGTGACCTTAGAAATCATGTCTGGGTAACAAGGTGTACTTCTGTCTCCTAAGAAGGTTTGCTTCATCAGCTCCTCTTTCTTTCGATCAAATCAGATGTATTGAAATTCAAGTGCCAAAAGCCACTTCTAGTAAATGTAAGTACATCTCTCTCAAAGTAGCTGCTGATGGAATCTGAAGTGATTTGGTGGCAATCCACATGCTGCAGCACAGGTGCAAACAGCACAGCCTCAGAAGTGAGTGCTACACATCTCTGGGCTTTGAATTTCACATCAGAAAGGATGCAGGGTGCAGGGTCCTTTCTGGCTAGACGAAAAGGGCTTCCTCTGATCTTACATCTCGATCAATCTTATTTCAAGCACTGCTTGTTTTTGCTTCTTAGTCTGGCTTCTCTGTGTGTTTGATTGGTGACCTCTTTAGATCTGCAGACTGTAGGCAAATGCAGTGACATTTTGCTTAAAAGATTAAAGCATCTGGACCATGGCTCACTGAGAAATTATCAGGGTGGGCAGAATGTGTCCATCTCAAAATGTTGATGCTTCCAGAAACTAAATGCATGCTAAGTAGCATGGACCATGCCTCATTCTATCACCACCAACCACGCAGAACATATTATTAATAAAATAATATGATCAGTTCCCACTTCTCACCCCTACCCCTACCTCCCAGGATATGTCAAAGGTCATGCATCCATGAGAAAAGGCAAAGTAGAACGTAGACACCAGGCAAAGGGACATGGTGCAGACACTGGTGATATAGCTCAGGCAAGAAGAAATAGTGCAAACATCAGGAATACAGTTCAGGGAAGGAGCGATGGTGCAAACATCAGCAATACAGCTCAGGCAAGGAGACATGGTGCAAACATTGAGGATGTGGCTTCAGAAGTGAAGAACAACCAAAAGGGAAAGCAGATAGCTTAAGGGTAAAGGAGATAAAAAGGACAGATACCTACCCAGACCTGCGCTATCTAGCTACCGGCCTGTGGACTTATATTATCACCACTGGGCTCCCCACTGGGCTCACCAAATGGATCACTGTTGGATGAGGCCTGTGATCCATCAGGCTAGAACACAAGAAGATAATACTTTTTTTTTTCTCTCTTTTCAAGCATTGAAAATATAAGACACCTGGATATACTTTCATGCAGCACAATCAGTTATTGTAAAGGAGGGTGCAACGGCATTTAGAGGATGCTACACCACAAATGTGGACTTGTAGTAACAATTTAATAAAAAGGCAGTCCTTTTCAGCTGACTCATTTGAACACAAAAGAAAGCCCCTTTAGCAACCCCTTGAGAACTTATGAGATTGAGCCAGCATTCTTTTCTATGTAGGCTTCCTCATGCATTATCCATTTCAGTTACAGAGGTCTTAATTTTAAGGAAAAACACAAACAAATAACAAACTGGTCACTTACAGCTTCTTGCTCTTCGCTTTTGCTGGGACTTTCAAAGCCCTCTTCAAAGATGTCATCTGTGGTAGGATCACTGGCATGGGATGCAGATGATTTGGATGGAGAGCTCTGTCTAGGGGCTGGGGTTGGAGCTACACAGAGACCACAGAAAAAGAGACATCTTAAGTGCCTGGCTGCCATGAATGTATCCCAAAGAAACCTCAGGAATCTGCTTATATTGAAGTCAAATCTTAGGATTCCTCTTCCTATTTCCAGTGGAATCAGTTGAATATTTGAATTCTCTCTCTGTACGTATTGATCTTTCCTCTCACACATCTGACTTCAGGAAGGAGCTCGTCCACACTGATAGGTAAGGCAGTGGTTCTCAAAGGATGGTCCTTGGACAAGCAGCAGCAGTAGCATCTGGGAATTTGTTAGAAATGAAATTTTCTGACCCTACCCCAGATCTACTGAATCACAGACTCTGTGTTTGAACAACCTGCTACAGGTTATTCTGATGCATGATCAAGCTGAGAACTACTGGGCTATGGTTTGCTTTCTTCTTTCTGTGTTTCATCAGAGGGCACGTTATTGAGCGCCTTTCATGTGTCAAACACTGTTAGAAACTTTACAGACAATATCTCTAATCCTCATAAAACATCTTTGAGGTAGAGGTTATCCTAATTTGACAGGTAAGGAAAGTGAAGTTTGCTAATTTGCTCATGGCAACTGGTAGAACCAGATTCTGAATCCTGGCACATAGGAGGTATTCAATAAACACATGTTGAATAAAGAGAAAGTGTCTCAGTGATCTGGGAAAATGGATGTAGCTGATGGCAACTTCACAGCTGGTACTTGATTCTATAAGGACAAAGGATACGCATTTTCTGGGCTGACCCACCCACATCTCCTCTCATTTGTTTTAGAGGTTTAGAACAAATATGCCATTTGATACCACTCTTCTTTTAATAAATTCTAATTTGTCACTGAAAATACTGGTTACTGGCTAAGACCCAAGTGAGAGGGTGGCATGACTTCATTTAGCAGCTGAATTTTCCTAATGTTATAGAACTTAGAAATCAGACAGTGAATGATTGTAAAACTTAGTGCATACTTTTTACTCTGATGAATCTATATATAGAAAGATGATGCTATTTCCTAACTTATTATTTATAATGTGCCAATGAGTTGGACACTGTGCTAGGCACTTCCCATTCATTATACACCTTAATATAAATACCTGCAAGTTGTTATCATAACTTTTTTGTTTCCCAGATGGAGAAATTGCAGCTCAGGGAGGTGAGGTGTCTTGCGAAGGGTTAACACAGCTATGAAATAGCAGCACTGGCATTTAACAGAGCTCTGTCTGACACTATCCAGTCCAACTGTGCTTTTCTGTTTCTATTTGAGGTTCACTTTTGATCCAACCAATCCTCTTCCCAAAACATTCTTAAGGGGATACTGATGGGTCAGAGGATATAAAGACTGGTTCTAATTTTGTTCAAAATAAAACAGCAAGTTTTTGGAAAAAAATTTGCAATGAAATCTGTTTTGTTTCAGGAGATGACTATGGAACAAACTGTATTGAAAGTGGGTTTAAAGCTATATGCAAACACCCTGAAGGGTAGTAGATGTTTAATAAATATTAGCTTAATTAGATCCTGAATTGTATTTGAAGTGGATTTTTGCTTACTAAAGGTTGAGAACACAAGCTGAGTTGCCAGTTCTGGCAGGTATACTGCTCAGACTTACCTAATGAAATCAATGGAAAGCATAAGCAGGAGTTTATTTATGCAGGTGTCTTAATCTTTAGAAGGCTTTATAGGATGCTGCTAATACTCTAAAGCAGTGGTTCTCAGTCTGGGGCAATTTCATCCCTGGGGTACATTTGGCAATGCTTGGAGTCATTTTTCTCGACACTAGAGGAAGGGGATATACGTTTCTCTCATAGAGTGATTAGAGGCCAGCGTTGCTGCTAAACATCCTACAATGGGACAGCCTCTGAAACAAAGAATTATCTGGCCCAACATGTCCATAGTGCCGAGGTTGCCAACGATGCTCTAAAACATAACAGTAGCTAAGTCATCTCCATTTTGTTTATTTCATTCTCTATAACCTTTCCCAAATGCCTCTCATGTCCCAGGCACTAAGCTAGCATTATGAGAAGTGTAGGAATGATGGAGCCAGTTCCTGCCCTCAAAGAACTTAAACTCTCCTCTTTCATTTGTAGCTGGCACACAAGTCCATTGAAAGAGAGATGTTTGTTTTTAAAAAGATGCTTGCTTATTTATGCATGGCTGTCATTTCTTTAACATTTCATTTTTTATTCATTATTCCTCATTGAAACCCTGTGAGTCTGCATAAATAGAGATGCTGCCACTATGTAGATCATATGGCCTGAGTGCAAGTGGGTTGTTTATACACGTTAAGGGCATTCATTTTCAGAATAGCATTCTGAACCTGGCTGAAATGGCACAATCTAATTGTATTAACATTAGGGGTGTTTTTTTTTGACAGTTCACAGTATTGGCCATGCAGTGATCCATATCACCTGTGACAGTAATGAAACCGCCAAACTCACTGCAGCATGAGCCTTTTCTTTCCTCTTATCAGGTGTCAAGGCACAGGCTGAGTCATCAGAACACCTTCCCTGAATTGTGTCAAACAAGTGTACATGTGCTCAAGTGTATCTGGATTCTGATTTGGCTGCACAGTCACTGTTTTCCAGATGTTTGCAGAAGAAATATGAGCTGGAGGAGACTCACTGAAAGCTGGAACTAGAAGGATGCACACTGCTCATCCAAGCCAATTCACTTATTTTACCAATGATAAAACTGAGTCTCAGAGAAGTCATACGCTTGCCCAAAGACACAGCTTGTGGTGGAGGAGTCAACACCAGAACTCTGGTCCAGGACTGCAAAAAAACACTTAACATGTGCTAATAATGAGGATAAAAGATACTTCAAATTCTGGGAGTTCTATAATGTTTGAGCACATATACCATTGAATCCTTTTAATAACCCATCGCTTACACAGATGAGGAAACCAAGGCTCATAGAAATAAAGTGCTTTGCCAAAAGGCACAAAACTGGTCAGTAATAAATCTGATCTCCAGGTTCCCAGTCCAGAACTTTCTGCAGCACTATCTTTTTGTTCCCTTTAACTACCAGAAGCTTTAACCCAAAATGAGGCTTCAACTATAAAAGCTATTTAAGACCTTATGGCTGCGTATCTCTGCCCTAAGTTTTCTCTTGATCCTTATTTTATATTCTAATGTTTAAAACTTGTTCCCCAAATTTTTAAAGTTTGCATTCATTTTATTTCAATAAGCCACGCCAAAATCTGTGTGTCATAAGCTATCTATACGTAAATAAATGAACGAATGAATGAGCAAACAAACAAAATCTTAAGAGGCAGAGTAACATGGTGGAAAAATACCAGGCTTACATTCAATTCAATACCACTTTGTCTATTGTCTTCATCTTTGAGCCTCACTTTCATTATCTGTCAAACAGGTCTAACAAAATTTATCATTAAGCATTATTATAAGTCTAAAAATAAACATGGAACATATGAAGAAGGTTTGTATGTTATCAGTGGTATCTAAATTGGCAGCTCATAGTAGTATTACTAGTAATAATAATATAAACAAAGAAGCCTGATTAATGCAAGTGAGATGAGTTATTTGACTCCAGAAACCCCGCCTCCAGACATGAGTTACGGCTCTCATTGGGTTTTATGTCTTAAGTGAGGGGCACTCACGTGAGTTGGTCGATGGTGTGGTAGAAGTCACAGGGGTCAAATTCAACTGGGAGATGTCAAAGTCATCACAGTCGTCTGTATCCTGTGCCACCCCGACTTTGTTGAAGTAACTGGAGAAGGCCTCTGAGGTACAGGTGAGGGAGGGCTGGTCGGGTTTGCGGGAGGGCACGGGCGGAGGCTGGGCCATCTGGAAATCCTTAAACGTTTCTTTGCCCATTTTCTGCCTGGGCTTGTCGGTCTGTGGACTTGACCTGGTGGAGTCACTCGTGCCTGGGACGGTGGCAAGGGGGGTGAGGGGACCTTGGAACATGGCAGCTGGCAAAGGCATAACAGTTTGTGTGGGCATGAAGGCGGCTGGCGGAAACTGCCCGGCCACAGTTGGCCAGGGCTGCTGAGTGGCAGGAAAGAGACCCGGCTGGCCCCATGCGATGGGCTGAGCCCCCGGCATCACCTGAGCGACTGGTGGCTGGGCACCCATGACCATCTGCTGTTGGACGAGGGGCTGCTGACCCCAGAAGGACGGGAGGACAGCGCCCATTGCAACGTAACCTGGGAGAATGAAAAAGGAGAGTCAGGTGTTTCCCTGGTGTCCTGGGAAAGAAGGATGCATGGACTCAGGTAATTGACAGAAATGTATCAAGCACCAACTAAGTGCCAGACTGTGTGCCAGGGACTGGGGATGCCAAGATGAACAAGACAAAGTCCTTGCTGTCATAGAGCCTATATCCTAGAGAAGTGGTCAGGGAAATCCTCTCTGAGGAGATGATCTGTAAGCAAAAACTAGAATGCTAGTAATCACATTTCTGTAGTTGCTAAAAGTTTCTAAAGTCTCATAGCCTCAGAAGCTGTGTGTCTCAGGGACAGGGCAGAAGGATGGAAGGCAGGCCTCCTGGGTTTTCTCCTTGCCTCCTCTTCCTGCTGCACTTAGGACCCTCTCAATTGCATAAGCTCTCTAAGAGTCTGACTCTTTGTGGTAAAACCAGGTTATAATACCTTCCTTCACAGGACTTAGGCAGTGTGCAGAGTGAGTAAGAATCTGAATGTTGGAGTTTTAGAGACCTAGGTTAAAATTCAAATGGCCACTTCTTATCTATGTAATTTGGGGAGCAGTTCTTAAATCTGTCTAGGGCTCCATGACTTTATTTGTAAAATGGGTATAAACACCTTCTATCTCACTGGGTTGATTTGAAGATTAATTGATAGTACATATTTAATATGTGGAGTATTGTACCTGACACAGGATCAACATTCAGTAAATGTTAGTTAGTAGTATGGTTTGGATTAGATAGAGGCTAGAAAGTTACTTATTACGTTGCTTAATATACAAGAGCCATGTAATAAATGGTAGCGAGAGGTATTATGCATGATTTCTGTATTATTATTCTTATTCCAATTTTAGAGAATAAAAAAAAAATAGGGCCAGATGTGGTGGCTTATGCTTGTAATCCTAGCACTTTGGGAGGTCCAGGTGGGAGGATTGCTTGAGGCTTGGAGTTTGAGACCAGCTTTAGCAACATAACAAGACCTCTTCTCTACCAAAAATTTTAAAAAATTAGTCAGGAATGGTGGCACATGCTCAGAGTTCCATAGTCTCGGCACTCAGGAGGCTGAGGCGGGAGGATCACTTGAGCCCAAGAGTTTGAAGCAGCACTGAGCTATGATCACCCTACTGCACTTCAGCCTGGGTAATAGAGTGAGACACTTGTCTCTAAAAAAAAAAAAAGAAAGAAAGTTATTGTCCACTCAGGGGCACCTCATGCATCAGTACAGGTTACACACTGCAAAACCCCACATCCTGTACTCACACGTATTACCATGATAATTGTTCACTGTATTATTCTTTTTAGGTAAGACATATACATTTCAACAGGAGCACAAGCAACACTTGTTATAATAATAATAGTAACATAGTAACAGCAACAAGCTCCACTTATTAAATGCCTACAACACGCCACGTACACTAGTAGGTGTTTTATGTCTTCACGAAATCCCGGCAGGGTAGGTATTATTATCTGTATTTTAGGGATGAAGAAATTGGTGCTCAAGGAAAAGCAACTTGCTCAGGGTCATACAGGTTGTATGAAGTAGGAGCAGGGTCAAACTGAGGTTGTCTGTCCCCCCAAAGCCAGGGTTCCTTCCTTTGTGCCACACACTGCCTCACCCAGATGGCCAAGACCAATTTCTGATCTTTGCAGTTAATAGACCTCCTTGCCTTCTATTTGATTGTATTAGAATACTGCAGGCCTGCAGGAAACTCCCATGTGCTTCCAGGGGTCCCCACCCTTCTCAGGGGACACAATGGCCACCTCTATGTGCAGTTGAGCCTGAGAGACAAGTTCTCAGGCTGGGCAGAGCAGAGAACAGAGAAGCTAGCTTTGCCTGGCCTCTCAAAACTAGCCTTTCCATGGCTGTCAGTAGGAATGTACCGAGGCAGTGTACCAGGAAAAAAAGAGGAATGGATGCAGAGTATCCTAGCAACTTCCAAAGGGACAATGGGTGGGCGTTACGGCATTGATGACATTATGAGTCATCTCACTGACTCTTGTGAGCCCAGAGAGATCCAATGCAGGGTGCCTCACTCCATGCTCAAGTCACAGATGTACCCGCCTTCATCTGACTGATACAGGCTAGAGCCAATATTCAAGGCCTGGTCATTTTCCTCGCAAGGTGCCCATTTCCTCTCATGCCGTGCTTCCCTAACAGGAGGCTCCAGAGAGGCACCAACAGGACACCTGGGCTTCTTGCTGATTAATCTCGCAGTGTTAAACACTTCTGCGGAATAAAACAATGATGTCAACAAACAAAATGGAGAATATCTTGTAAGACCACTTTGTCCAACTGCACTGAAACAAGAGGGGTGAAGAGGCCCTGGAGCTGAAATTTCAAACGTGAAGCTTGCTTAGCTTGCCTCGCCCATGGCATAATAATGTAGTGGCTTAAATCTACCAACAGATGAAGAATCCGGCAACTCTGTCTTGTTTTCTGGTTTACTTTGATATGGCCCAGTGGTTCTCAGTGGGAGTGCTACTGCCCCCTAGGGGTGGCTAGAAAATTTGTGGGGTGTGTTTCGGTTGTCACAAGAGGAGGGGGTGGCACTACTGGCATTTAGGAGGCCCAAGCATTGACAGTAGACATCCTATTATGTCTGAGACCAATGCGTACGACAAAGCATTATTCCACATCCTGTTTATGATCATTTGCACCTAGAATCGACTTTGAATTACATGGAAATTCAGTTATCTTTGCATTTGATTTTAATGCATTTAATTTTCCAGGAATTCAACAACTGTGCACAGGAGAGAAGACTGTATTTTTGGTTTGGAACACTGTCAAAAGGTGTTCACTATTTTGGAAAATGGCAGTGCCTGACATCCCTGACAGAAGCGCTTCTCATGGTGGTGTAGCCACATGACACTTCTGTATTAGCCTGGACTTACAGCTGTGGCTTTCAGTAGTGATTCTACTTACAGGTATATACATCTGACTCTTATGTCTTCTAGTGTGCTCACGCCTGAGTATTTCCTTATTTAAATACATATATTTTTATTACAAGTTCTCTTTCTTTTCTTTCTGCCTTATACTACAGTTAGAGAATTATATTCATTTTGAAAAATTGTGTAGCTAGACTACATTATCTATGAAATTCATTTCAAGGTGTGAAAGGAGGTATTGCAAATATTTGTAATAAGAAGGGGGTGCTGGGTCTGCAGGTGGAGAACTACCCACAGATTCAATCACCCAAGACCTGATGCCCATTTTGGTGAATGAGTGGATGTTTTCACTCTCTTGACATCAGCCTGTTTTTGGCTTTGCTTTTATTCCACCCTCCTTGCTGCCATGAAGGACTGTTTTTAAATGCATATATGGTACTTCATTGTCTTAAGTATAAGGCTCAGATGTCTTAGCTTGGCTATGCGTCCTTGGGGGTCAGCTCCTTCCACCTCTTCATCACTATCTTCAATCCATATCCTCACTGCACCTTGCCCTCCAGCATTTGCAAACAAAACCCAACCTGCTGTCTCTTGTCTCTGCTGGCCCATCTGCCTGGAAAGCCATCCCCCTGCTTCTGTGCTGTCTAACCCTGATTTGCTCTTGGAGACTCAGTTCACTATCACCTCTGTTGGATGGCTTCTTGCTCCTGTCAGCACCACTGGTCCTTCTCTGGGCTTCCACAGTACCCTGTGCTCACCTCTATCATGACACTTGTCACACTGCCTTGCAATTGCCTGGTTGTTCTATCTTCCCTGATGAGACTAGAAACCACCTGCTGGCAGGAACTCTTTATTCTCTCTCTCTTTCCACCCTGCCTAGCATGGTTTGGGACGGGAGAAAGGCCCTACATAAAGGTAAATGAGTCCTAGTCAATACATTCACTGCATTTTTCCCGGTGTCTAATTAAACCCACAATGCATAAGTGCTGTGATCTCTGATGATTCTACTGTTGGTGGCAGGTTTTTTTTCCCCTCCCATCTTTTATTTTTTTTCCACAAGGAGCTAACAGATGGGCTGTGCACACTTTTCTGGAGAGAGCTATTAGCATGTCTCTCTGGCTTCATGCCATCTGCTCCAGACCAAAGTACAATATTCAAAAGAAAAAAGGCAGCACAGGGTAATTGGGTATCATGTTTAGGAGCCTGCAGGTCCCACTCACTTTTCCTAGGGGTTCCCTGCAGGCTGGCTCTCCTCGGCCTGTGAGTTAAGGCTGTCTGGCCACATGGTCTTGTGCATGAGCGAAGGGACACGTCAGCAGCAGGACAGTGGTGGCACTGGACAGAGGGAGCCACTTGGTGGCTGCCACTGCAGCCACTTAACAGCTTGTTAACTGTTTACAATTAATGTCCAATAGTGGAGGGAGGAGGTACTAAGGAGCATCTGTTTATGCCGTGAAGTTCAGAGCAATCATAAATCTCCTTGCTGTGGAGTGAAAGGGAACACCTGCCTTGCTGCCTTACAGTTAGGTTTTTAAAAAGTGTTGAAAATTGTGATTTACAGCCAGATGCTGACACCTGGGGATGCCCCCATTATTTGAAAAAAGAAAAAAAGGCAGACTGAAATATAAGAAAAGCACTAAAAACGAAGGAACTCCTCCAACATTTATACAGAACTTGTATGACATCTCTTATCTACATTATCTCATTTGATGGATTCATTCATTCAAAAATACCTCCACTAGGTGCCAATCACTGCTTTAGTGTGTGGAGACAAAACAAAGAACAAAACAGTCACCAAAAAAAAAAATTCTTACCCTGTGCAGCTTACATTTTTGTGAAGGTGATCCTTTCCACAAGCCTCTGGGGTGAGTGTGATTGCTATCTCTTTAATTTGTATAGGAGAAATTGCAACTCCATGAGGGAAAGATTTGATGCAGCTACACACTGTATGAATAGCAGATCCAAGGCTCCTGAAGAACCATGTAGCAAACATCTGTTGAGTGCTTACTGATGGAAGCACTGCCAGGAACTGTTGTACCTATTTTACAATGTGCATTTACTCATGCAATCCTTAGAAAAACTCTATGAGGTAGAATTATGATCATCCCCATTAAAACGGGGTAAGTTCCCTGAGGCTCAGAAGATATTTATCTGAGTATGGTGCAGCTGGCTAGTGGCAGAGCTTGTGTTCATACATAGTACATTCTCCAGGCCACCCATTCTCCTGCTGTCTGCTATAAGCAGTCAAGAGGCTGAAGACCTAAACTTTATTACAGGCACTAATTTCCAGGTAAAGGAAAAAATATAGGTAGAACAGGACATATATTCATCTACTGTAGAAATCAGAGTAATCATAATAATACAGCATATTCTACACTAAATATTGATGATGTGCCAGCATTTTTCAGTGTGTAGTGATACCACTTCTACAGCTGCAGTTAATGTAGTGATTCATTTAATTCTCTTGATATTGTTGCAAAGTAAGTATTATTTTACACTCAGTTATAAAGATGAAGAAACTCTGACTCTGACAGGTCAAGTAATTTGCCCAGGAGTCTAAAGCTTAGAAATAATGGCTGAATCAGGATCCAAACCTGGCCCATTAGATTCAAAAGCCCCCAGGAGCCAGTCCATCCGTTGTATCACATACTCCAGTTCACTTCCCTGTCTCCTTATCACTGGCTGGACAATTAGTCACAAGGAGATCGGGATTCAATAGCTACAGAAATTTTTATGGCCAGTTAAGGGAGAAATAGGGCACACAGTTTAACACCAACTGAAGCCAGTTCTGTCATATTAACTAGAGTCAGAAAGCAAAAACATGCTAATTGAAATTAATTTTAGACTCGTGTTCTAAAAGTTGAAATCTTGGAGGTAATCTATCAAAATTTTAGCAGCTAAAGAAAGGAAATCTGGATATGTGGAAGTGGCTTGTCCATAGCTTCCAATGTGGCTGGTTAAGCAGCAAGACTAAAACCCAGGTCTTCCAAGTCCCTAATCTGGTACAGGTTTGAAAGAGGGCCCAGAGCAGTGCTGTGACTGACCCAGTGATATGGTTTGGCTGTGTCCCCACCCAAATCTCACCTTGAATTGTAATAATCCCCATGTGGAGATAAATGAATCATGGGGGTGGTTTTCCCCACACCGTTCTCATGGTAGTGAGTAAGTCTCATGAGATCTGATGGTTTTATAAAGGGGAGTTCCCCTGAACACAAGCCCTCTTGTCTGCCACCATGTAAGACATTCCTTTGCTCCTCCTTTTTCTTCCACCATGATTGTGAGGCCTACCCAGCCATGTGGAACAGTGAGTCCATTAAAACTCCTTCCTTTGTAAATTACCCGGTGTCAGGTATGTCTTTATCAGCAGCGTGAGAATGGACTAATACACCCAGGCAGGTCCTCAGCGTGTTTTTAATCAAATGTTAGGGCTGGAAGAGATATAAAATTGCATCTAGTCCCATCTTCTCAATTATAGAGAAGGGAATGGAGACTTGGGGGACCAAGTCATTCCTCTGCCTGGAGTACCTGGAACTCTGATGCCTACTTGAGACTTTCCTGTCCCTGCTAGTCCTGTCACATGTCACCTAGGCAAGAGCCCCTCGTGACTACAGGGGCTCCACTTACACCTGCCCTCTGCCTGCACTCAAAAGCCCCCATGCTCTGGTCTGCATTTTCTTTTGTCCCTATCACTTCTCATTTTTAAATATATTATGCAAATTACTTATTTTTATGTTATTTCCTGTCTTCCCAGTAAAAGGTAGGCTCTCTGTCTGTTGTGTGGACTAGCACATCCCAAGCACCTACACAGGACCTGGAACATAGAGGGCACCTGGTGAGCATTTTTGAAATGAACATGCCTGCAAATTTGTAAGTTTGGGGCCATCATCTGTCCCAGCATACCCTTTACAGATAAAACAATGAGGACAAAGCATGGGCACTCCGAACACAAGACTCAAGCATAGAAGGGTGGTGCATTTCTGATGGAAAACTCTTACTCTTATTTAAAATGGCATGTGCCATTATAGTAGTCCCATGGATATTTTAATATCTATTTTAGGTAAGGAAAACTAGTCATCATCACTATCCCTTTTTAAAGATTAGATTGGGAAACTTCACAATTGAATACATTTCTAGGCAATTTGCAGTCTAAACTGTAAGTTAGATCCAAGGGTTACCAACCTCTATTGCTTCTAAAAGTTCATAATGATCCCTTAGCTCATGAGTAATAACCGTAACTATTTTAGAACAGGGTATGCATTTTTAATTTACTTTGAATAAAAGCACAGTTTATATTTGGTGGCAAGAATTTGCTTCTAACAGTATGTAATTAAAAGTAATTATAGAAAAAAATGCAAGAAGATTGGTATTCTAAAATATTCAAACAACTCTATTTGCCATTTATAAGAATAAAGGCAAGAAAGATAAAGCCACAGATTTCAAATACATAGTTAAAGAAAACCACAAAACCCTTTAAGGCTCCCATGTATGTCAAAAACAGAACTAAACTACCTTTGGCTATTTGCAAGTACAGTGGCCTGGCCACATGGAACGCCTCATGCCATGGAAACAAGGTAAGATTGCTGGGCTCCATCCATTTGTAACTCACCTGCAATACTGCCACTATATATTTTTTTAACTTGTTGTAAAAGTAGTAAATACATTTAAAGACTATTTGAAAAACAGAACACATACTTTCTAACTCACCAGGAGTCTCATTATTCTCACAACTCAGTTAGCAGTTTGCTCTTGTCCCATAGGGTGCTCCCCACTTTGTCTGGGGACCTTCCCTTTCCTTGAGTCAGCACCAAGTAAGGCAGACCCCTTCTATCCATCAGGTCTCAAGAAGTCTATAGAAAGCTGACTCCGTGTCCTCCCCTGCTTATTGCTTTCTCTCCTGGCAGAGGTGGAAGAGTGGAAATGGACTTGGGCTAATTGCACAGCTGTGCATATGCCATGCTCCCAAAAGCTGCACACCTGAGTAACATAGAATCTTGAGCTGTCTGGGTGAAAGACATCAGTGAATTCCAGGCCAGTAACATCCCAGAGCTCTGGACCCCAACACCACCTCCTCCTCTAAATAGCTTCTCAATGTCACCTGAAGAGTCACAGGAGAGAACAGCAGTGTTTTATCATCATTCGGTGGCTGGCTCTGTAAACTCTTTCTCTCTCTTAATGAGTGAAGGCCAAAGGAAGGGAAGCTGGTGGAAGAGGGCTTACCTGAGGGTACAGCAGCAGTGCCGAAAGGTACAGAACTAAACACATCTGCACTCGCTGGAAGGGTCTGAGATGAAGATGGGATAAAGGCATCACCTGGAGTTGCAGGAGTCTGCCAGACAGAGAGAGGCAGAGGACACATGAGACCTGGCTTAGCAGTCATCAAGGCTGGGAGGTAGCAGATGCAGGAATTAAGGCGCAGGGGAAGGGGTCCACAGTTCAAGCCACTTATGGGGTGTGCAGCCCATGTGCTGGTTACATACACTTTATCTATATGGGAAATGACACCTCCAGAGCTACTGTGAGGATTAAGTGAGATTATGTAATTAAATTATTTTACATTACTTAAATTTTTAGCACCGTGCATAGGCATGTAGTAGGTGCTTGGCAAATAATGGCCAGTATCCTAATGATTTAGTTTGAGCCCCTACTCCCTGGGGGGTGTTTTCAGGTATCAAATTTTCCATAATATTTGGCACTCACCCTTTAGAGGTGGCCAACTCAAACTGAAATACACCCACTCAAGACCTACTGTGTGCCCAGCTCAGGGGTTGCAATTTAATACACGGTCAATGAGCAGTTGTTGACTAAATCAACACACAAAATTTAGCAAGTGGTGCACAGACCCTTGTATCCTGGTGCCCCCCCGCCACACCCCCCGTCAGCGCCCCAGATTTTGCCTGAATCTTCATTTGCAAAAAGAAGTAAATATTTTCAAGAAGACAACAAGAAACAATGCTTGCACCACTGAAAATTCTACAGGGCCTAGTCGGTGCTGGAATTCCAAAAAGGTCTGCTGCATGGACTGGTGGGCAAGATGGGGGATACAGAAATGAAAACATCAGTACTCATAATTTTGTATATGTCCACACCCATTTATAGCAGGCTTTTGCCTACAGAGTGTAAATCTGTTCGATGCTGTAATATCCTTTTTTTTCCCCTTGGAATAGGCTGGGGCAAGCAATTAATCCTGAAATCATGGCAATTAGACAAGGCCATTTTTAGACTAGCAGCTTGCAGGACGAATGGCATTGTTCTGAGGATTATTAAATACCCATTTGGACTGCGCTTGGGTTCAGGGCCAGAAACACAGCCATGAGCTGCTGTGTTAAGCACTTTTAAACACAGTCAGTGCTGTTCTTTCTTTCCCCTTTGTGACCTTGGGTGAGTCACATGTCCTCTCTGGGACTCAGTTTGCTCATCTGTAAAATGAAGGGGATAAGGTTAGAAGATCTCTTCAACCCTTTCTAGCTGCATAGCCCTGCCGTTCTGCAACTCCAAGTTCCCAGGAAGAAGCTTTTAGCCCAGGATAAAGGGTAGAATGACAATCGCTAGAGCCATCCAGCTTCTTTGGGGACAGAGGCTGCAGTCCCCTCCCTCAAGGCTGCCTTGGACATCAGGTGTTGGCAGCAGGGCAGCTGTGCCTAGATTCCCTGGTGGCAGCAGTGGGCAGCAGTGTCTTGTGCCATCTGTCCTCAGTGGTGAGGTTACAGCCTTTTCTCTGTGAGGCGCATCTTGCCAATGAACCATAGCACCATCCCTCGGTTTGCACAACTGCGCAGTGCCCAGAGGAGCTGTCCCCTCCCGGCAGCTTCAGCTGGTGCAGCTGCGGCTGACTGCTCTCTGCCCTCCTCCGGGAATGGGCAGGGGAGGGGCTGGAGGGGCCATCTCGGCTCTTTTCTTTGCAGTGGTGGCAGAATTGCTTTTGAATGCATCCAGCACTGGGATTCTGTTTTGCTTTGGTGTTAATTCTGTTTTCTTCTTTTCGTTTTCAAATTAGGTTCTCCCTGCAATCTCTGTCCTTTTGTAAGCACTGACTGAGGTACACTGGCTGAAGCTGTGGCTGGGAATCCAGAGCTTCTTGAGAAGCTCAGTGAGGCCCAGGTCATGGTCTGCAAAGCTGAAGGGCAGGCTGGAAGGGAGGGAAGAAACAAAAAGGAGGGAGAGAGGAAAGAAAGAGGGAAAGGAGAGAAGGATGGGCAGAGCAGGGTGTGGGGAGAAGATCCTTCCTTTACTGGGCTGACCACCTATGCTGTACTGGGCTTGGGGCAGGTGCTGACAAATGCCTCATCATATGTGCTATCCCGAGTTTCCTGCCTACAATCCCAACCAGACGATGTGCCCCTTGTAGTCAGGAAGCACATCTCCTTCGGGCCTTTCTTCTCAGACCACAGCAGAACAGCAAGCACCCAGGCAAGTCCTGTCATTGCTAAATGCATGGTCTCGTTTATTTCTCAAAACAGAGGCATATATCATACTTCCCCTTTATAAATAGCCAAGCAAATTAAGGATCAGAATGACTAGTTAGTTTGTCCAAGTCACACAGCTTGAAAGAGTCAACACTGAAATCCACCAGCAGCCCTCTTTCACTCAAAGCCCATATTCTGGCCACTGAGGGGATGTGTAAAGAAAGGAATTCAGAGAGCAGGGTTCAGAGAGCAATGCATACTTACGGGGGGAGAGGTTATATCAGGGGGTGTGGACATGTCCCCAAAAAGTTCTAATTGGGTCACAGCCTGTAAAGACAAAAAGGTAATCATGTGACTACAAAGAAAGCTGGTGCTGCTGGGCCCTGCTTTACACACAGTATGGTATGGGGATACACATTTCTGTTTTTCATCATCTCTAGATAAACCGTAATCCTGATGGGTCATTACTATACCTCAGGATCCCAAAGGCAACATCTTGAATGCAGCCAGAATCAATTCTTGCTTCCTTGCATCTGGCTATTTATCTAGGCTTGGTCAAGACTGCCCATTAATCACTTCCCATAAGCAGTAATAACATTACTTCACACTTATTTACCATCAAATGCCAGCAATGTCTCTCTTTTCTAGGAGATAAAGGCAGGGAGGCAATCCCATCATTGGTTTTTCTCTCATGAGTGTATCCACACATACAACTTGCCTTCCATGTGCAAGTATGGACATGACTTCATGGTCACGTCAGTAAGGGCTCCCAATAGCATTCACCCTGAGAGGTAGGAATCATCATCCTCATTTTTACAAATAAATAAACTAAGTCTCAGGGATGTGGCATCAAGGTCATCCAGGCCACGATTTAAATTTTCTGAATACAGAGAATGCAGTCAAACAGCACTCTCTGAAAGAGTCCATCTTTAGGATAAAAAAATGTGGTTGGAGGAAAAGAAAACATTTCATTTAATACCAGGAAAGGCATCAAAAACAACCCAGTGTATACACCATTAATCACTCCTAGGAACTCCATCACTGCAGACACTGCATCATCTCTCTCCCCATCCATCATATGGGAGTGTCTGAGCAAGGCCAGCCACAGCAGCTAAAGAAACCCTTTAAGATACACTTAGAAATTAATCTGCATAAACTGCCAGATTCACAGACTCTAGGGAGTCTATGGCGTGACTTAATTATGACAAGTATGTAATCACATGCTTTGTACAAACCTGTCCACTAAGGAAAAACCACTTTTCCCTTATCTTCAGATCTTAAGTGATAGCTTCAAACTGGGGGAACTTAGACATACCACTTAGTAGAAGGGATGTGAAGAGTCCGACTGCCCTGCCACACAGGACTCCTGCACTCAAACCGCTCTAACCAGGTCATGGCTGGATCTCTAGGTTCATCCAAAGAAGGGAATGTTCTTTCCTACTGGCAAGTGAGCAAGCTTTGGGCTCTGGAAAAGGTCCCACACTCCATGCCTGGGGGTGTGGAGTACTGGTAAGATAAACCACAAGAGAAAGGAGCCCCAGGTCAGGGAGGGTCCCAGATGGGGAAGAACAAGGAATAATTGTTCTGAGGGATGGTTAATCACAAACAACCCAAGGGCACAACCACCTCGTTTGCAGGTAGCCCCTCCAGCACAACCCTATAAAACTTCCATCCAGCCCCTGCCTCTTTGCAGACAGCCCCTTCTCTGCTGTGCTGCCCACTGCAATCTTGCAATGTATTTTCATACTTTCTCTAATAAGTCTACCTTTCTTTACCCACAAATGTCTTCATAAATTCCTTTACTGCCTGGACCGCTGGGCCCAGATAGTAGCTACCCCCCAACAGGGGGTATATTTGGATTCTACCACTTTCAATATCTGCAACTCCTCAGAATTACAGTTCCTTCATCTGGGCAATGGAGATGATAAGATCTCCTTTGCAGATGTATTGACAATATTAATAGGAGAACTTTCTTTGATGTTTGGTTAAGACTGGTTGAAAGAGCACAAAAGTCTCTTTTTGCTGAAAGGAGACAAGCTTGGCTTTGTTAACTTACTTGCAGCTCTTCCTTCCCTTTCAGCTTTCAGATTGAATAACAGTGCCTGGCACACAGTAGGGCCCTATAAGGACTGATTTTCTTTCCAGCTGCACAATAATTTTTCATAAATGTTCAACAACTGCTAGATGCTGGGCACTGTGCTATGTGCTGGGAACATAAAAATGAGAAATGCCAACTCTCAGCCTGCAGAGAGTTTACAGACTGGTGGGGAGGTTATCCAATCTGTAGATGCAAATAATCTCAGGTAATGCAGCAGAAATAGCAACAGGGGTCTCTACAAGATGCTGTGGGAGTACCTAGAAGGAAATTGATCTGGTTTGGCTGTGTCCCCACCCAAATCTCAACTTGCATTGTATCTCCCAGAATTCCCACATGTTGTGGGAGGGACACACGGGGAGGTAATTGAATCATGGGGGCTGGTCTTTCCCATTCTGTTCTCATGATAGTGAATAAGTCTCACAAGATCTGATGGGTTTATCAGGGGTTTCCAATTTTGCTTCTTCCTCACTTTCCCTTGCTGCTGCCATGTAAGATGTGCCTTTTGCCTTCCGCCATGATATTGAGGCCTCCCCAGCCATGTGGAATTGTGAGTCCAATTAAACCTCTTTTTCTTCCCAGTCTTGGGTATGTCTTTATCAGCAGCATGAAAATGGACTAATACAGTAAAATTGTTACCAGTAGAGTGAGGTGTTGCTGAAAAGATACCCAAAAATGTGGAAGCAACTTTGGAACTGGGTAACAGGCAGAGGTTGAAACAGTATGAAGGGCTCAGAAGAAGACAGGAAAATGTGAGAAAGTTTGGAACTTCCTAGAGACTTGTTGAATGCCTTTGCCCAAAATGCTGATAGTGATAAGGACAATAAAATTCAGGCTGAGGTGGTCTCAGATAGAGATGAGGAACTGGTTGGGAACTGGAGCAAAGATGACTCTTGCTATGTTTTAGCAAAGAGACCAGTGACATTTTGCCCCTGTCCTAGAGACTTGTGGAACTTTGAATTTGAGAGAGATAATTTAGGGTATCTGGCAGAAGAAATTTCCAAGCAGCAAAGCATTCAATAGGTAACTTGGGTGCTGTTAAAAGCATTCAGTTTTCTAAGGGAAGCAGAGCATAAAAGTTTGAAAAATTTGCAGCCTGACTACGTGATAGAAAAAAAAAATTTCTGGGGAGAAATTCAAGCCAGCTGCAGAAATTTGCATAAGTAGCAAGGAGTCTAATGTTTATTCCCACAATCATGGGGAAAATGTCTCCAGGCCATGTCAGAGACCTTCATGGCAGCCCTTCCCATCACAGGCCTGGAGGCCCAGGAGGAAAAAGTGGTTTTGTGGGCTGGGCCCAGGGTTCCTGTGCTGTATACAGTCTAGGGACTTGGTGCCCTGTGTCCCAGCCACTCTAGCTGTGGCTGAAAGGGACCAATGTACAGCTCAGGCTGTGGCTTCTGAGGGTAGAAGCCCCAAGTCTTGGCAACTTCCATGTGGTATTGAGTCTACGGGTGCACAGAAGTCAAGAATTGAAGTTTGGGAACTTCCACCTAGATTTAAGATGATGTATGGAAATGCCTGGATGCCCAGGCAGAAGTTTGCTGCAAGGACAGGGCCCTCAGGAAAACTCCTGCTAGGGCAGTGTGGAAGGGAAATGTGTGGTCAGAGCCTCCATACAGAGTCCTACTGGAGCTCTGCTTAGTGGAGCTGTGAGAATAGGGCCACTGTCCTCTAGACCCAGGAATGGTAGATCCACTGATAGCTTGTACCATGAGCCTGGAAAAGCCTCAGACACTCCATGCCTGCCCATTGAAAGCAGCTGGGAGGGAGGCTGTACCCTGCAAAGCCACAGGGGAAGGGCTGCCCAAGACCATGGGAACCTACCTCTTGCATCAGCGTGACCTGGATGTGAGACCTGGTGTCAAACAAGATCATTTTGGAGCTTTAAAATTTGACTGCTCTGCTGGATTTCAGACTTGCATGGGCCCTGTAACCCTTTTGTTTTGGCCAATTTCTCCCATTTGGAATGGCTGTAATTACTCAATACCTGTACCTCCATTGTATCTTGGAAGTAACTAGCTTGCTTTTGATTTTACAGATCATAGGCAGAAGGGACTTGTCTTGTCTCAGATGAGACTTTGGACTGTGGACTTTTGGGTTAATGCTGAAATGAGTTAAGACTTTGGGGGACTGTTGGGAAGGCATGATTGGTTTTGAAATGTGAGGACATGAGATTTGGAGGGGCCAGGGGCAGAATGATATGGTTTGGCTGTGTCCCCACCCAAATCTCAACTTGAATTTTATCTCCCAGAATTCCCATTTGTTGTGGGAGGGACCCAGGGGGAGTTAATTCAATCATGGGGGCTGGTCTTTCCCATGTATTCTCATGATAGTGAATAAGTCTTATGAGATCTGATGGGTTTATCAGTGGTTTCTGCTTTTGCATCTTCCTCATTTTCTCTTGCTGCTGCCATGCGAGAAGTGCCCTTTGCCTTCTGCCTCTCCCCAGACAAGTGGAACTGTGAATACAATTAAACCTCTTTTTCTGTCCAGTCTTGGGTATGCTTTTATCAGCAGTATGAAAACAGACTAATACAGAGGCCCAACCAGCTTTTGGCAAAGTTTAAGAAGGTTTTCTAAAGGAAATAGCCAGGAGCTGAATCCTGAAGGAGAGGAGCCATGTGACCAAAAAGAGGAGACCATCCAGGCAGAGGAAACTGCTTAAAATGGCCAGAGGCCCAGAACAGAGTAGGTAGGTGGTAATGGAAGCAGTTCACTGTTACCAACATGAAGGTGGGAGAGAGGAGGCCAGTGTGGTGGACAAGGGCAAGGTTGTGGTGGGAATTTCATACCTTTCCCAGCCTTTTCCATCAATTCCTGGCTATCTTGTTTCTCTTTCATACAGTAACAGCCCAGCAGCTGATGGGAATGAGGTGGACAGCACACAGGTGCTCTCCCAAATCTTGCTGGACTTGAAATGTTCTTCTTTGGTAATCCTTCTTTAGCACGTTAGCAATATTTGATATTATTTGGTGAAGCTATGCTAGTCTTTTAGACCCTCTTCCAAATTCATAAAAGGAATGTTTATTTAATCAATTCAAATGAAGCTTCTGGGCTTCTTTGAGACTGCAACTCTATGCTTTTAAAATGGGTCACAACTATTTTCAGTGTTAGGAAAATATTAAAATGAAGTTATTAATTAAGTCACACAATTTACATTTCAAATGTGTTGAACTCATGGCATACTTTTACTAACATCATAAATATAATTTATTGGCTAATTTTCTCCTTAAGCACAACTTTTAAAATAACCTTCATACTTGAGATATAGACTTTCCTTTTGCCAGATGATTTTCACTCAAGGATTAAACGAGAAAAACATGCAGAGGCATAAAACATAGATTGTTATTTCATTCCATTGGTTTGCTGTTTAAATAGAACCTTGAGTTAATTAAATTTTATAGAAAAAGGGGATTCTTGGGCCATAAAATTAAAAATAATCCTAATAACCATATGTGGTCAAGAATCTGAAATAGTATCTATTTTCACAGGCCTCCTCCCCATGTTAACCCCAGTCCTTTTATTTGTAAGCTAATAAACCATGTTCCATCTGATAATACTGCTCTAATGAATCATTTTAAAAGCCTCAAGAGAATAAAACTAACAATTCACATTTGCAAAACACTTTATAGTTTGCAATACAGTTTCAAATACATTATCATCGTGTTTGATACTCACTGAGCCCCGTAAAGTCAACAGCATAGGCGCCATTGTCACTATCTATGTTTCACAGATGAACTAGCTGAGGCTGAGGTTAAGTGACTCGCCTCTGATCAGTCAGCTAAAAGCAGCTGGGATGGACTTGACCCACACACCCACCAGCATCTTGTTCATCGATCCATCACTTTACCAAACCTTAGTTAGCCTTGCTAAATAGTGGAAGTCCAGCTCTACAACATTCTCTAACCAGAAATCTGGGTTGCTAGGAGGTCTTCCATGATGCACATCCATTTGAGGTCATTTGGAATGTCAGCTTGAGATGTCTATTTGCCAGAGAGTAAGGCCCTTCCATTACTGGCATTTCAAATGTCTCCTGGTAAAGAGAGATGTAGCTGGAGATGGCAGTTTTGCCCCTTTTTTAGCCCCCTGGGCATTTTCCAGGGGTAAGAAGAGTGATATTGGAAGGTGTACAGGACAGTGAAGGAAAAGTAGCTTCGATGTTTAGGGAGGTAGTCCCCCAGTATCTCCATCAGGCCTGTTCTCTCCCCAGTCATTCTTTGATATGAACAAGTGATGGTTTTTCAGTAATATCTAGTTCAAGATTAGTATACTGGTCCTTCCAACTAGTTCACTGCAACTAGACCCCTAGGCCTTTCCCAAAGAGAAATTCTGAAGGCACCATTGATGGAGGCTGAGATGTCATGGCTGACCCCGAAAACACCTTCTCACAGACCCATTCCCTATGTTTTGGCATCAGGAGTTCTGTGACCCTTCAGTGGGCAGACATGGGAGTTCCTACCTTGCATCAGCTACCAAGAGCAAGGGCTACAGAGATAGGTAAGGCACATTCCTGTTCCTATTGTCATAAGCTGGCTGTTTTATGGAAACACAGACCCAGAGACACAATCAATGGAGGAGAGAAGCACAGGGGGTTATGAAAGAAGAGGCCATCTCAGGGTCTGACATGTGCTCCTCCTCCCACCTAGAACACTCATTCCTTCTCCCACACATCCTTCAGGACGCAAATTAGAAGGCTTTCTGTTTTGCTTCCTATGAAGTGGCTTCCTAACTCAATTTGTACCCTATTCCATTGCCCATGATACTCCCAGATCAGTGGTTCTCAACCTTGGTTGCACATTGAGATCATCTGCGGAAAAATTATTGATGCCTGGTTCCCACCCCTAAAGATTCAGAATTAATTGGTTTGAGGTAAAACCTAGTCACTGGAACTTGGAAAGCTCTCCTGATGATTCCAATTTGATGCCAAGGTTGAAGATTTTTGTCCTAGAGGTTTCCCAATACTGTATTTAGGAGTGGTAATATTCATTGGCTTCTGTATCAATCAATTTGAACAGATGTTGACTGCAACCAATATATTTATACCAGGTTATACTGACTGAATAGCAACCTCGCCTGTTTTTTATTCCCAGTGGTGTACTTGGCACGTCCTGTTCATGTATCTGAATTCCTACTATATCATGTTATACTACATATACTACACTAAGCTAGGCGAGGCTCTACTGTCATATCTTATCCCAGGCAATGTTGCACTATGTTACACTGTGAGCTTCTTTAGGAAAGCCCCTTTCCTCCATCTCTAGCATCTGTTAGGATGCCTGGGACATGTTAGAGGTTTGAAAAATATTGCTGGATGAAAAGAAGGGGTGCTATCTCCTCTCCAACATACACTTTTGTTTACACACACACACACACACACACGTGTACATACACTCTCACTATCTGACCTCATGGCAGGGCCCACCAATAGTCTTCCTGGGGACATTTGAATAGGTACCTACTAGAGCAGAGCAGGGCAGGAAATCTGCCATTCATGCAAGCTGGATGAAGAGAATATGGAATGCATGAGTATGAGCAGAACAACCTAATTTAACACAAACCTCAAGGCCTTACCTTCGTTGCCTCAAAAATCTCATCAAAGTCTGTGGGCAGGTTTCTGTTCTGTAACCACAAGGCATGACTGATGAGCATGAAATGAATGATGAGAAAATGACATGAAACAGTTAACCAGAGAGGGCTGTAATTCTTACCGGGGTGGCTGCAGCAAACCGTTCTTCAAAATCCTCAAACGAATAGCCATTCTGAAAGTGGAAGGGATGATGAATGAGGATGAAGTGAATGACACACAAATGACATGGATTTATGAGTTTAATGATGACAGTATCTATGGTTCACACTTCCGTGGTCTCAGTAGGCGGGAGCTGTTTCCAATGTCTGTGAAAATCTTGGAATATGTTTCTAGCATAAGCAGATGATAAAACATGGGTCTGATTAGGAAATACAGCAATGGTAAATTTGTAAGTTTAAAGTCCATCTTCCTGCAATTAGAGACATTGCCCCGCAGTTACAGACATCAGCAATGACCATGGATAAGAGCATGCTGTTTACACCTGAGATTTTTCTTTTAAAAGAATAGAATGTCATCTTGTGCTTTAGCCAAACTTTACAGCTGGTTTCCATGTGTTTTTATACATGTTGTCTTCTCTGCCTGAAATGCTCTTCCCCTCGGCCGGGCGCGGTGGCTCACGCCTGTAATCCCAGCACTTTGGGAGGCCGAGGAGGCGGATCACGAGGTCAGGAGATCGAGACCAGCCTGGCCAACATAGTGAAACCCCATGTCTACTAAAAATACAAAAAATTAGCCAGACGTGATGGCAGGCGCCTGTAATCCCAGCTACTCGGGAAGCTGAGGCAGGAGAATCACTTGAATCCAGGAGGCGGAGGTTGCAGTGAGCCGAGATCGTGCCACTGCACTCCAGCCTGGGTGACAGAGCGGACTCCATTTCAAAAAAAAAAAAAGAAATGCTCCTCCCCTCATCTCTGCAAGCTCAGTGCTCCCCAAATTCTTCAAACCCATCCCAAAAGCCACCTCCTCCATGAAGAGTTTCTCTATCTTTTGAATTGAAATCCTCCTGAGTGTCCTCAGTACATTATCTATGTATCTATGTCTATTACACCATGAACTTTCTCAAGCAGCTGGTAGAGGGTCTCCCCCTGCAGCTGGTAGAGGGTCTGGCACATAGCAGTCCTCAAAAATACAGAAATGAATGCACATTCGAGAAGTAGCTGGCAGTGGGCAACATTTAATTGCTTTGTTAACTTTGTATTTTATTGTTTATATTACACATTATAGGTATGTACAATATATCATATACATGTATATCTTAATGGCCATGTTCTAGTCTATGTATAAGCTAATTATTCTTTGGATGATTTCCAAATAGTAAAACATTAATATAAATCTGCTAATATGGACATTAAAATGGAGTTATTACGCATGAATAGTTTTGAGGAGAGCTTTTGGCAATGCAGGAGTGGGAAAACTATCACCCATAGCCTCGTAGTACTGTGCTTTGTCAGGATTTGCTTTCACCCTGTCTATAGGACATGTGACTGTTACTTCCCTCAGCCCCAGTTACAAAGTGCAGAGCAGAGCAGAGTGGAAGAATCAATGTGCCCAGGCCCTCTAAGGCAGAGCCTTCAGGTCAACCACCAACCACCTGTTTCCACCAGCCCATGGTTCAACATGACTTAACTGTGGCTTCAATGAGAGGAAAAGCCACCACATCAAATAACCATAGACATTATTATAATTATTATTTGGCCAGAGGTGGGGAGAGGTGGTGAGACAATATTAGTCTAAGTGATCCTATCATCTATGGTGTGGCCTAAGAGGTTAAGGTTATGTCGCTACATCCTTTATAAATTCACACACTCCTAGCAATTTATGGCAGAGCCCCTACCAACTAGCTCTGGGTCATAACTTTTAATAAAAACATTTTTTAGTGTCCAAAATCTCATTACATCTGTCCAATATAAAAAAGCAAATGGCTTCGGAGCATGATGGATGAATTAAATAAATTTGAAAAACAGCCTGTGGAAGAGGCTCATAAAACCCCCCACCATGTCCCATATAATGAAAATGTGGGAGGATAACCAGTGTCAGCATGAGCGTGTTGTCACCTTCCTGGGAAAGGAGAGGTGGCCTTTGGAGAGGTGTGGAGCTGAGGTGTGATGAGGCGATTTCTTTGAATTCAGTTGAAGATTGATCTGAGCAGATGAACAAATGCATTTTTTTGGAATCACATAGATATGGACCGGGTCTTGGTCACGTCAGGCCATGGATGTGCTGGCCATGTAACCCTTGACAAGTCAATTAACCTCAGTTTTCTCATCTTTAAAGTGGAGTGGGTAATGACATCATGGCAAGTTTATTGAGCAGTTTAATTGAGATGTGTGTGCAAAGTCTTGTTTGGTGTTTAGCACATAGTAGATGCCCAAGGAATAGTAGCTATTATTATCTTCTCCTATTTTTGGCTCATTTCAGTAACGCACATGCACTTTTTTTTTTTTTTTTTTTTTTTTTTTTTGAGACAGGGTCTCACTCTGTCGTGGGTTGGAGTGCAGTGGTACAATGTTGGCTCACTGCAACCGTTGCCTCCCAGGCTTCAGTGATTCTCCTGCCTCAGCCTCCCGAGTAGCTGGAATTATAGGTGCATACCACCATGCCTGGCTAATTTTTGTATTTTTAGTAGAGACGGGGTTTTGCCAGTTTGGCCAGGCTGGTCTTGAACTCCTGACCTCAGCCTTCCTCAGCCACCAAGCCCAGCCCCAATGCACATATTTTTTTAATGCTAGGAAATTATTATTACATAATATTTGGAAATAGAGGAAAAAGAAATGAAAATCTTTCCAATGGCCTCTCTTTAGAAACCACCTCCACTCAAGAGCCCAACACTTCCTAGACCTCCCATCCTTACTCCTGAACCCTTCAATCCATTCTTGACTCCATCTTCTCTCTTTTGCCCTGCTCTTGGCTACAGTCTTGCCTGATCATCTTCATCCCATCCGTATCTTTTTTTTACCTTGTGTCTACCTTACTGTTCTAACTCTGGCTCAGTCATTTCTCAGAGCTGCTCTCTTACAGCTACCTGTTTGGGGCAACCTTTGGAGACACCCAGTGCACTTCCTCCAGCCAGTGGGGAGATGCTGCCAGCTAATAAATACACTTTTTCCCAGGTGATTCTTATAGACAAAAACTGATCTACTCCCTAGTCTCTCCAAATTGCTAAATCTTGTTTTACCCACAATTACCACTTGAGTTCTAATTCATTTATATTAAAGTCTTTTTTGTTTTGTTTCTTACAGATTTTTTTCATACTATCATAGCATGTACACAGTTTTGTATTCTTTTAAAAACTCAACATGACATCAAATTTACTCGCAACTTAAGCTTCCAGTGAGGAAATATAAAAGAAGATATTCTCATGTTGTTTCAATATGGTTCTGGCTTGAATCATCATTAAAACATGGAAATAAAGTTCCCACAGGGAGTTTATCTTCCTATAATCTCTTTTCAAAACAGTGGGGACACTATGATTCCATTACTGAGTAAGGCAACAAGGAAGACCAGATTCATGTTATTCTTACAGGAAAAATGACAGTGGATAAGGGACTTGGGATAAAAAAAATCTCACAAAGGAAGAAAATCTTTTTTATGGCTTCCAAATCAGAAACCTGCTGTGGTTCTCACTCCTGACTGCACAGTGTAATCCTTTGGGGCAGCTACTAATGCCAGAGCCACATCATCAGAGATTTGGATTGTACTGGTCTAGGGTGGGGCCCTGGCATCAGTAGGTTTTAAAAGCTCCCCACGCTATGCTAATGTGCAGCCGGATTTGCAAATCACCATGCTGGGGAATAAACTCTCAGTAGGAATAATTAGCAGAAGGTTCCTAGGAAAACTGAAGCTGCCTTGATTGATTATGCAATTGATTAATTAGTTTCTTCAATGAACATTCACTGGGTGCTTTCCACATGTCATGTCCTGGCTGGGCACTGGAGATACCTAGATGAATAACACATGGTCCTTCTTTTCATAAGGTCAGAGCAGAGCTATGCTGTATAATCTTTGTAGCTTGGGGTGGACAGTTGTGTGACAAGGACCACACAAGGCTTCTAGATCTAAACTCAGAGCTCAGACCAAGGCTGAAAAACAAAAAACACAAAACGAAACAAAAATTCAATTATCCATTTAGAAGGCTCAAGAGAAATGGATTAACTTAAGTGATTTGTAACTGCACTAAGGTGGGTACTATTAAGGACACCTACAGATTCCAGGCATCTGAATGCATGTTACATTTCCCTAATGAAGGATTTAACAAGGAAGACACATGCTAATGGAGACTAATTCCTTCTGGGTTATCTAGGAGTTTATGCTATGCTCTTTATCACCTTTACCCAAGAGTGAACAGCCACTTTCCCATTTCTTGGCAGAGAGAGATGGGAAAGCTCTGTTTGGCAATTGAAGAACAAGGGCAAGTGGCTTGAGGTGGGGAATAGAAACTCTGATTTTAATAAATGGTTTAATAAATGGTCTAGAGACCAGCCCTGTCCAATAGAACTTCTTGGGATGATGTAAAGTTCTCTATCTGTGCTGTCCAATACAGCAGTCAGTAGATACATGCACACTTCAAATATGGCTAGCATGCCTGATGAACTAAATTTTAAATTTTATTACATTTTCATTATTTTTGATTTAATAGCTTCATGTGGCTAGTGGCTACAGTATTGGACAGCACGACTCTAGATAAAATATATTAAAAAATAAACTTCCAGTTAATGGGGTGCTTCCTAAATACTAGACATAGTCCTTCCTTACATATTCTCTTCTATTCTTTTAAAGAATATCCTATATTTGCATTGACTGGAAGATGTCTGTGGGAGAATTGATTTTTTTGCTATGTCTAGACAGTACCATGAAATCAAATTCAGTTTGCAAAAGCAGCCGACTTCTTCTAGCTATAAGAGGTTTTTTTTCATTGCCGGAGCTAAGTGAAAGCCAGATATTTGTGGAGTTTTTTAGAAGAAAGTTAAGATTCATGTTTCAAATGGAAATCCATGAAGCTTCATTAGAACTGAAACAAAATGGAATCCCATTTAATGCCAAAATGTGCCAGGCCTACTGAGATTTGGGGATCGGTGGTCTTGCTGGACTCAATACCTTGATCTAATAGAGAAATTGGTGCCTCTTTGAGGTTTTGTCTTTATAATGATTGAGACGTTGCCTCTAATTACTCCAATTTGGGCCTCACTTTAGCAGCTAATAGTCCTCCTTCTTCCAGCTTCCAATTCAGGAGGATCCCAAAGGTTGTACAGAAGGTTGGAGGATAAAGGGAAATGCTTCAATCTTACAATAAAAGTTACATCTTCCCTTGAAGTGCTCACACGTGTAATATATCCACAAATCCTTGGACAACAAAATATTTACATCCAGATTCTTACAAATTAAGCTGATTCTTGAAATGTTCTTTCTTAATATGCAAGGGGAAGTTCGGCATGGGGAATGTTGGTGCAAGGATTTTGCTGGCACCTTATTAAGACATTGCAAGAAACGCAGAACCCAGTGGACAAAGTTCAGGGTGCTAAGCTGACCTGAACGGGCTAACGCAAATGACAGGGCATAGCTGTGGGTAAAGCCTCTGCCTCTGGATTCTTGGCCTTCTCAACTTTCATCTAATGTCAAGAAAACTAATTTGCTTGCAAGTGAAAACACTGAGCACTTTTAAAGTGAGAAATGTGATGGTTTCAGGAGAGGCAGAGTGAGGGAATGAAAAGTTAGATGTGGGGAACAGTAGTTTTCAGTTCAAACTGCTGCTCCATCACTGGCATTTCCTTGAATAAAGTTTATCATTTAAGCCTCAGTTTCCCCCACTGCAAAAGAGGGATAACAATGCTTACAATGTGGGCTTGCAGAGAGGAAGCAGTGAGAAGACTGATGTATAGGAAAATAGCACAGCAACTGGCAGAGTAAAATTTCAACAGGTGTCATTTCCCTTTTGAAATTTACAGAAAGGGAAGGAAGGAAGGGAGGGCAGGAGGAAAAATAGTCATGGAATTATTTGCTTGGTAGGTGAGGGTAGACAGGTGCCAGGTCATGGCAAAAATTTGGGTGATATTAGTTTAGGGAAGGGATGAAGTCACCTGGAGAAGAGGCTGAAGATGCATTGTAGTCTTCACAGAGCAGATGCTCAGTCAAAGCAGCTCCTACTCTTGGACCTTCCCCCAGTTTTTAACACCAGCAAGGCTGGACTGTTCTAGGAGTCTGCCTCATCATTCCACCCACCCCACCCTTTCTCCTTCCCACTCTTCTTCCTATCCATCCCTTATACCTATTTTAGAACTCAGGTTGTAACTCCATGTTTTGATGCTCAGTTTTTCTAAAAGTCAGTCAATATTTTCTTGAAAATATACATGAGGTTGGGGTTGGTGGCATGATCTGCAGGCAGAAAATCATTATGCAAATAAGCTACTAATGGCTAAATTGAGTCTGACCTCAGTAACAGTGATAAAGGAAAGGAGATATCAATTGTGACGCCTGAGAAATGATAGTGCTAGTGTTAAGGGGAGATGGTGGTAGTTCCAGAGGTCTGTCATAAGACTGTGATCATTGGTCATCCATTCACTTACTTCTATTTATTAAATATACATGATTTACTGAGCATCTATAAACAAAGTCTTCTACCACATGAAGGAGATAGAAAACAAGAAATTATACAGTTGGTGTTATCAGTGAGATAATTCACATAAAACCTGTAGTATATGGGGCCCAGCTCAGAGTAATGACAAGATTCATGCTGGTGGTTACTAGTATTATTGTCCTTATTATTAAATACATGGCACCCAACCCTACATCGTGGGGTTGGGGAAGCTGGGGGCAGCATATATTTTGAGCTGGTGTCAGCAGCAGTAGTGGGAATTTGATGGTGGAAATGCTGTTGTCATGGGATAGAGGGCAGTCATCATAAAAACAGAGATGATGATATAGCGCTCTCTGTGCTGTGTCATCATCATGATAGCCAAGATGGGGCCAGGGATGGAAATTAGGAAGAAACATTGAAAACACCATCACAGACACAGAGCTCTCTAGAAACACTGGGAAAGAATATATAATTTACACACTCGTAGAAGCTTCCTGATTCTAATCCATGACTTCATCTCAAATATCTGACATTTGACAAGGAGGATTTTAGGATTCAATGCCCTCTTCCCTTGCCTTATCTCCTTTGTGAGGGGAAGGATCAGGCTGCAAGATGGCATTGCTACTTTAATGGCTTTTGATAGAACAAACAGATATGCACAGGTATAAATATACACAGAAAACCAGAAATCAAAGGGGAAGCATTTCTAAAAGCTTGCAATTATTTGTTTTTAATGGTCTCTTCCTATCTCCTTTTTCCTTTTAAAAACCTATTATTCTAGTTCCACATTAGCAAAAACTCAAGGATTTTTCAAAAACTCCTAACAAGATTTGGCATCAGTTCAGTACTTTGAAAAGGGAGTGAATTAGAATCACAGTAATGTGAAATTGGCTCCCATCAGCAGGATGACAGGATTCAAAACACTTTTGGGGAGGAGGGCAGGGGAACTTCTCAGAGTCAGTCATCTTTCTTTGCTGCTGTGCCTCTCTTGGAGGGGTTACCACTGCGGTCCAGATGGCATCCAAATGGTAACAAGAAATATTGGAGGGAGCTGAAATCAAGCAAGAGTAGCACAGGCTCAGGCTGAATGCAGAGCAAATCAGAGGAAATCACAAATGGAGAGATGTCACAGCAAAGGAAAAAATAGCCAGGAGGGCTTTGCCTGCTGCTCTGACAGCCGTTCCATGCAAAATGTTTTTGCTTTTCTTCTCCAGAGGAATGCAGATTTTACATACTTAGGAATTCATTTCCTCATTCACTTCTTCATTCTTGGATTTGATTATCAAGGCATTAATTTAAATAAGGAATAAACATTTCCCGAATGCCCATTATGAACCAGACACTATGCCTATCCTGTGAGCACTTAGACGGTGTCCATTCTCTGAGTTGTAACAGCAAAGTTAGGGAAACTGGAGAACACTAATTCAATTCAGAGTGTGAGAAGTGCCACAACAAGGGTACCAGGCTGAGCATTTTTACAGAGCATGTACAAGTTCATTGTGGCTGTGCTGTTCCCGGGACTGCAACCAACTTCATGTGAATAGCCAAAGCAAGAATTCCGTTTTTCTGTGAATGGAATTAGACTCGATTACTATCCTTGAATTTTTCTTTGTTGTAACATTAGGGAAATATCCATCTCATAAGACTGAGTTGAAGATTACCCAGGATAAGATTCAAGGTAACAGTTGAACATGTGCCTGACAAATAGTAAGGCTTCCATTAGTGTCTGATTATTTGGATCTTCTATTAAGTCAACAATTCAATACAGTATCCTTTAGGAATATGATGATTTTGTAGCACCTACTTGATGGGATTTTGAGCTGTTTTAAAAATTTCAGAATTGCAGAATAGAATTAGAAGAGACTACAGAAATCTCTAACCCAACTCATCCCTGTATTTATTTCAAATCAGGAAACAGAGACCTTCAACTTTCTCAAAAACATGATAATAATAGTGGCAGATTTGGGATGATGTAGCAACTTCCCAACTCCTGTTCTAGTTCCTTTTCACTCCACCATGGTTCCTCTCACAGTTGTATAGATTAAGAGGAGACCATCATAAGTCAGAGCAGAGAAACCTAGCTCACATTTTGTAACAAGGAAACAGGCTCAAAGGAAACCCTTGCTTGCTCATAGGGAAACCAGTAGTTTCCCTTGAGGGAAATGACTACTTCCTAGAGCTCTGAGGATCGAATGAGGCAATATTCACAACTAGATGACCTGGAAGGCAGCCTTAAGGTTTGAAGTCCAGAGGATATCTGAAAGAGCGTTATCCTCGACTGTTTTTGATTGATTGTAGAACTTGAAAATAGTTTGTGTGTGTCTTAATATCACATGCCCTCTGAATAAGTCTGTAGGTATATTCTTTACCATCTCAGGCCTTGGCATAAGACCTTTCCTCTGTCTGATCATGATTTCTACTTTTATTTATCAAGAAAACTATAACATACCCCTAGAGGACATGTTATCTCTAGTCAGCTCTTCAAAACCTCCATGACCCTCAGGATGGATTAGATGACTACCCTTGGCATCACACATGTCCAGGCACAATGACTATTACCTTCC
Source organism: Homo sapiens (assembly GCF_000001405.40). Classification (NCBI taxonomy): domain Eukaryota; kingdom Metazoa; phylum Chordata; class Mammalia; order Primates; family Hominidae; genus Homo; species Homo sapiens. The sequence continues at coordinate 57,042,537 of NC_000001.11, forward strand.
CTCTTTTCTACTATAGCCTATGGCCTTGTAGAGACTCTAGTTCCTCATATGGGAAACTGTCTTATTCATCTTTGATTTTCTAGTACCTAGATGGCCTAGTGGTCAGCACACAGAAGGAAATTATATTGAATTGATACATTTTAAAAAACAAAATGAATAAATGGATGAACTTCTTTATATAATACAATAGAAAACTGAACAGAAAGAAACTTGGTGATAGCATGACATTATATGGAGGGTATGGCATTCCATATGTTGTTTTCAAATGCTTGGCATGTATGTGCATGCATGCACACATACACACGATCACACACACACATACATACACACACACACACACAATCACAGAGATATGGCATTTGTTATTAGGAACTCCAGAAAAAAGCTGTCACATCTACCCTGCCATTTGGCCAAATGGGGCTTTACAATTAGGATAAATTACTCCATTTCTAACTTCAAAGAAATACTAGGCAGAAGTTCCAGAAAAAGTTATAAGAACAGGGATATGATGCCCTCCTAGCCCTACTAATATCTGGATGGCATTTTCAACTGACTCTTCAAGCTCCTTCCCAGTGAGACCCATCAGTGGTTCTAGTGTGTCAGCAATCTGAGATAGTCTTCGCTACTGAAAGTCTCGCCAATATCTGATCAGGACCATTTTGGATTTTAGCAATTAGTGGGTGACTATATCCCATAATTTTCAGCCTCTCAAACTTAACATGTCCAAAGAACTTTTGATCTCCCCAAACGTGTTCTTTCCTTGTCTTCCAGTCTCTATAAAGGCCACCAACTCACACCTAGATGCTCAAGTCACAAGCTACTTTAGATTCCTCTCTCTCCCACACTTTGACATGTAAGCTTTCATGAAGAAATGCTGATTCTATCCCTGAACATATCCCAAAGCTGTCTGCCTCTCTCCCTCTTCTCTGTGGCATTCTCTTTTGCCCAAGAGTGCTGCTTCCACTTTTGCCCACTTAAGTTCATCTCCCAAAGAGAGGTCAAAGTGGTCTTTAAAAAATATCAGATGAGGCCGGGCGCGGCGGCTCACGCCTGTAATCCCAGCACTTTGGGAGGCTGAGGCGGGCGGATCACCTGAGGTCAGGAGTTTGAGACCAGCCTGGCCAACATGGTGAAACCCCATCTCTACTAAAAATACAAAAATTAGCTGGGTGTGGCAGTGCATGCCTGTAGTCCCAGCTACTCAGGATGCTGAGGCAGGATAATCTCTTGAACCCAGGAGATGGAGGTTACAGTGAGCCGAGATTGCACCACTCCACTCCAGCCTGGGTGACAGAGTAAGACTCCTACTCAAGAAAAAAAAAAAAATCAGATGAGGTCTCTTATTGCACTTGGAATAAAATCCAACCTCCTCACCACTGCCTACAAAACCATCCACACTTGGGGTGTCAACTGTTCTGAACTTGCCTCCACCATTCTCCCCTTTCCTACCATGTTCTCCCTTCATGGTGAGTCACTGGCTCATTCCTGCCTCAAGGCTTTTGCCCTTGTCTTTCTCTGTTCCTGGCACACTCTTCATCTGATTGGTTCCTTCTCCTAATTCAGACTTGGGCCAGGTGTCACCTCCTCAGGGAGACCTTCTCTGACTCCACCTAATGCAGGAGTAGCCCCAGCTCTTGTTCATTGCCTTGTTTGGTTTTGTTTCAAGCACTCACTGCTCTGTTTGTCTGTTTCCTTTTCTGTTGGCAGCCTTTCCCCGTGGAAGGTGACCTGGGTTGGGACTTGGTTTGACTTGTACCTGTGCCTAGCTCAGTGCTTGACACACAGTGGACACTAGACCTTATTTGAAAAATGGGTGAAGGAATGAATGCTTGAGCAGAGCAATGCATAAGTGACCAGAGACTGGTTCTAGGAGGCATCTTACAGTATTACAGAAACTATAAAACGATAACAAAAAAGACACTTCATGCAAATACTACAGGGAAAGGGAACTCTATGTTTGCCACTTTGACATCTGTGCTCTGGCCTCGGGCTTGTTTTCCTACTTGTTCTGGTGCTGGACACCTTATCTCTGAGGACCTTGTAGCTAGGGAATGAAGAAGGCATAGTTAAGGAGATCTTACCATAGATACCAAAAGCAGAAAGTGTCTTTACTCACACGTTTGCTATATCTGTTCTATGAAAAACCTTTTTAATTAAAAGTAGCCCATATCTCCTTAGTAAGGTCACGGGTGGTTGGGATCATTATTTCTTGTTTTGACAAATCCACAAAGAAGACAAAAAAAGTACATTCTGGACTCAAGAGGAAGGAATGGGTCACAGGGTAATATTAAGACCTCCTCTCTTCTTGGCCAGGCAGAGGTCACTAAGGACAATAATAATTATAGCTAATGCTTAGATGGAACTTCCTCTGTATGAACCAGACACCATTCTATGTGCATTCATATATTACCTCATTTAATTATCGCAACAAACGTGAGGTGCTGTTACTCGCCTTGTTTCCAAGAGGAGGAAACCAAGGCACAGAAGGTTTAATTAACTTGCCCAGGGTCACACAGCTAGTAAATGACCGAGCTAGAATTTTCACCTAAAGTGGGTTAGCTTTGGAGTATGTGCCCATAACAATTATGTTATAGTGAGGAGAACAAAAGGTATAAGACGACCTGTGTTTTAAGACTAGGGTGAGTGGTTAGGGTTCTGGAAAGGGCAGCCATGGTGGGCAGTTTAGGAGCTTGTCCTGTTCCAGTCTAACCCAATTCTCTCTTGGAGGACCATGGCCAGATCATAGTATAAGGGCTATCCCTATAACAATGGCAGGAGGAAGGAGGCTAGAACATCCTAGGCGACTGTGGAAACAGCAACATAGAAACTGCCAAAGGGACAAGGCTACAAGGTTTTAAAATATAAGAAAGTAGGGTGGCGGCTGGGTGTGGTGGCTCATGCCTGTAATCCTAGCACTTTGGGAGGCCAAGGCAGGCGGATCACTTGAGGTCAGCAGTTTGAGACCAGCCTGGCCAATATGGAGAAATTCTGTCTCTACTAAAAACACAAAAATTAGCTGGGCATCGTGGCACATGTCTGTAATCCCAGCTACTTGGGAGACTGAGGCAGGAGAATCACTTGAACCTGGGAAGCGGAGGTTGCAGTGAGCTGAGATCACACCACTGCATTCCAGCCTGGGTGACAGAGCGAGACTCCATCTCAAAAAAATAAAAAAGGAAAAAGAAAGAAAGTGGGATGGGGAACCCTGAGTATTGGGCTGACAGCATGTAATGGTGAAAAAAAGGATAATTCTAGAGATAAGGACAGCAATACTGCTAACCTGCTGGAGAGAAACATAACGATATGCTGACAGAACTTCTATGATAGGCAGGAAGATGGGAGGTGGAGAAGAGAGAAAGTGTTGTAAAAAGTGAGAGTGAATGTCACCTTAATAGCAGACCTTCCTTTCGGCATAAGTAGAGAAGCAAGGGATTTATCCTTCACAATCAGACTCTATTTCCCTCTCCTTAGCATCTCAACCTCAATCTTCTTATCCATACAATGGAGAAAATAATAGTTGTCATCTTAATTAAACTGGATAAATTTAGTTGAGAATCTGAATCAGCTGGGGGAACTTTGTAAATCTCTCTTTATATATAAATAGATGCAAGCCTTACAAAAGCAGATCTATCGAATTGGGGCTAAGGAAGTTGTGTTTTTAAAAGTGTCAAAAATGATTGTTAAGCAATGAAGCCTTTGGATTCCCTGAAGTAGATACAGCTTGCCAAGCACTAAGCACACTTGCTGGCCCCTAGTAAGCGCTCAGCAAATATTAGTTTCTCGCCTCCTTTCTAAGTCACTGCAAAAACAAGTTTTGTATCCTTTGGGTTGTGACTGTCACCAATATATATTTTCTTATTCCCCATGATCATTTATTTAGCTCTTGCTCCTTTTTTTTACACTAGACTTTGTTCATTATTCTTCTGCATCCACTAATAATGGCAGTTAAGGAGAAAGAAAGAACCTCAACATGATGATTTATCCAGAAAAGCTGAATTACTGTACTAAGAGAGAATGAGTGCCAGCATCAATGGATATTTATGGGGAAACTGTATATTACAGCTCTGCTCGTTAGAGATGCTGTAGTTAAGGTTCTGTGAATGTTAATGATCTGTATTACAGGAATAATGACAGACTCACAGCAGCAGCAGCAGTTAACAGATACCCCTGAATCACATTTTCTCACCATGTAACAGATCTCCAAGTGATCTGATTTATGTCTACCAAAGGAGCAAGCATGCATCAGGGAACCTGCATCTTGGAGGGAGTACTATTGTTGCTTCAGCACAGGTAGCATTATGGACAAAGAGTTTCAGGGACAAGAAGGATAGAAGCTTCTTGCCTTCTGTTTGAAATCTCACATGTTCTGGTCTCAGAGGCAGTTTGGCCCAGCAGGAAGAGCAGTCACCAGCTTTGGGTAGGATGACCCTAAATCCTGGTTTGCCTAACACAGCTGATATTTATGCCTATTGCCCTGACATAATTGTTAATAGCAAACCCTTTTTCACTTTCAAGAGTGCCCAGTTTGGATGATAAACTAGGTCACCTGGTTGTAGGGTCAAAGAGAGGTGGATTAGATTCTTAGTTATGCCTCTTCTAGCTGTTCTAACTTATTTAACTCCTCTGATCTTCAATATCCTTTATGGTAGAGAAGAGACCTAATCCCAACAATAGTTTGGGAGAATAACGAAATAGCACATTAAGTGCCTAGCACAGTCCATTGCTTGGTGAGGTTTCAGTATTTGGTAGTTACAATTGCTTGTTATCCCTGTCTGTTAAGGACTGGATGTTTGGGTCCCTCCCAAAATTCGTATGTTAAAGCCCTAACCCCCAGTGTGAAAGTATTTGGAGATGGGCCCTTTAGGAGGTAATTAGGGCTAGATTAGGTAAAGGGTGGTATCCTCATGATACAATTAGTGGCCTTATAAGAAGGGGAAGAGATCTCTCTTCCTCTCTCTGTTCCCACCCCCTCACTACCAGATCCACACTCTGAGGAAGGGCCGCATGAGGACATAAGGAGAAGTTGGTGGTCTACAACCCCAGGAGAGACCTCTCACTAGGAATGGAGTCCGCTAGCACCTTGATCTTGGACTTCACAGGCTCCATAACTCGGGAAAATAATTTTCTGTTGTTTAAACCACCTCGTCTGTGGTATTTTGTTATGGCAGCCCAAGTGGATTAAGACATGGCCCCATAGCTATGGTGCAGCCCCTGCAGCTTCGGCCCCATCCCAGGCTCTCAAGTTACACTTGATCTTGTTGACACTATTGCTTGAGCATGGAGACCTGCAGGCCCTCCAGCCCCATGCTCTATACACCAGTCTTCCTTCCTCCAGTAGACTAAAACCATCTTCGTCGCTGGGGCAGGTCTTGCTCATCCTTATATCTCTTAAAGCACTTGGTATAGTCCTTTGTCTACATCATAGTTCATAATAATAACTCTGGCTGACATTTATTGATTGAGCACTTACTATATTCCAGGTGCTGTTATAAATATCTTATGTGCATTACTTTATTCAATTCTTAAAAGAACTCTATAAGGTAGTTACCACAGTCATTATCCTCATTTTACAGATGAATACACTGAGGCACAAAGAAGTTTAAATAACCCACCCAAGGTCCCACCGCTGGTAAGTAAGGGATAAAAATTTCAAGCCCAAATAGTCAGGCTGCAAAGCTCATACTCTCAACTGTAATACCAAGTTCCCTATCAATTAACCAGTCCCTACTCTATATCAAAGACAAAAGTAATTACATCTCTTCTTATTTAATCCACATAATAACCCAGGGAAGTAGCTCTTTTCATCTTGTTGACTGGTCACTAAAAATCCAAAAGATAAAGCAACTTGCCTAGAATCATACAGCTAATAAGTATAGGCTCCAACTAACTTCAAATTTCATGTTCTTTCTGTAGTTTTACAGCCTCCCAGAGAGCGGTCTTCCAATCTCTGTTCATGAATTACAGAATAATGAAGTCTTAGATGGGAAATAACCTGAAAAACGTCCTCGTCTGTCCTCTTCACTTCTCCTACCCACGTAATAACGAGTGGATTATTCTGGACAGTAGTTTTCATACTACCTTCTCTGGATCTCTTTCCTTCTAGAACTTTCTATCTTTCAGAGTTAGTAGGTGGGGGGGCTTCACCTACTAGTAGGTTTTGAGGCTCCAACTCAGCTTCAACTATATCTCCTCTTTCATCTGTTTATATAGCAGGATACCAGGCATGTTTCATTTGAATAATTTTGGAAAAAGTTTGAAGGCTACTCTTCCAGAGGACCAGTGGCCTGCATTGTAGCAGAGAGACGGGGTGATCACTGTTATTCAGACATGCTTTCTTTACAACACACAACTGAGCAAACAAGACAGCAGGCAACTGCATATGCGACCACTTATCCCTTTCCCGATTTGCATTTGTGGAAAACAAGTTTCAGATTTAACAGCGAGTCTTTTACAACTCTGCTTGACTCCATTAATGACAGCTCAGTTTTTCAACGTTGCAAGAAAAAGAGCCAGATATCATTCAGAGTGATAATGTGACAACCCAAATGTGAGTCCTGGACTGAGAACAGAACGGAAGATGAAAGGAATTAATGCTGTCTTTGGCTAGAACCTGAAGACAGCAGGTGGAAAGGCTGATGTACAAACAGTCTTAGAAGTTAGAGACGTACTTTGGGAGGCCGAGGCAGGCAGATCACGAGGTCAGGAGATCGAGATCATCCTGGCTAACACGGTGAAACCCTGTCTCTACTAAAAATACAAAAAAAATTAGCTGGGCATGGTGGCGGGCACCTGTAGTCCCAGCTACTCGGGAGGCTGAGGCAGGAGAATGGCATGAACCCGGGAGGCAGAGGTTGCAGTGAGCAGAGATCACACCACTGCACTCCAGCCTGGGCAACAGAGCAAGACTCCGTCTCAAAAAAAAAAAAAAAAAAAAAAAAAAAGAAGTTAGAGACGGAAATTCCCATGCATGTAACTGACAGAGCCTACAGGGAGGAGACAGGGTGCTTGGTCCCTGTCTTCTGGTTACTTGACCTTCCAAAGCATGTCACCTCAGAGCTAGCTCCAGCTCCCTGTTTGTCTCATCCCAGTCATACACTCAAACTCATCTCGCTTTTTCATCTGCAATGCCTGCCCCTAGGCTACACCCACAGCAGCCCTCACATGCCTCCCCTTAACCTCTTTGCCCTCAGACCCATTCTTGCCCTTCCTCTAGTTTGTACTGTAACACAGGAGGCTGATTGCCATAAACTGCATTGCCTGGGCTCCTTTGCCAACACACTTCCACTTTGATTTGGTCAACAAGGAGGCAGTAGTTGGAATTTGAATAGTGGGTAGAAGGAAGAAGCAGTGAGTTCTCTCCCAGCTCTCTTCTGGCAGTATTTGTGGCAGTGGCTGAGTCTCCTGCAGGGGTTTAGCTTCCACCAGGCAGCCCCTTTCTCTGTCCTCTGGGCTCCCACTGGGCAGTGCTCTCTCTCTGGTCCCAGTGCCTGCTGGCTCTGCTAACACTGTCTCTTCTGTCCTTCTATCCCTAAGGACAGTAGCCACTTCTGATTATTATTAATCTGGGTTGCCCTGCTGTCCCTTGTTTGGTTTTTCCGCTCTTCTAACACCTTTGTAACTAGTTCCTCATATTAGATCCCCTCTATTAAACTACCTGGCATGGGATCTGTTTTTCTGACTCTATCCTGAATGGATACACTTAGATGATTCCATTAGCTTCTTAATGGTCTCCTGACCTGCCAAGCCACCTGCCACAAGCCACCAGAGGTACACTGAAAAAAGCAAAACTGATGTTGTCATTCTAACACCTGAAAGCATCAGTGACTTCCTAACAGCTCCCAGATTCTCAGCACCACATTTCAGACCCTTTGCTCCTTGGGGGCTTCCCTTGGCATCCTCATCTCCTGCTCCCATGGAGGCACCCTATGGTCCTGCCACCTCAGACTTAGTCATCAGCCCGTGTGACATGACAGGCTCTTCTACATTGCCATGCTTTTAAACATTCAGTTCCTTCTTCCTGAATACTGTTCCACCCTTTCTCCAGAGACAAACTCCCCTCATCTTTTAAGATTCTATTCAAGCTCTATACCCTGGGTGAAGACATCATTAAACTCCTTCAGGCAAAGTTTACTGCTCCCACACTATGCTCTCATAGCATCTTGTACACAGCCTCTCACACCCTTGATTATATGAATCACAATTATTTTTATAGGTCTATCTCCTTGAGACCATGACAATTCTAAAGCAGCCTATCTTTATATGCCTAGTGAAGAGAATGTTGTTTGGTAGGGCACAGGTTTTTAGTAAATGTTTGCCCAATGGAGGAATAAATGAATAAATAGAAATTGTAAGGGAACTCAAATAGAATAAGGGTTTCTAGCAACTGGAGCTCTGGGATTACAAAAGTAATGAAGGTCTGTCATTGTAGGTATGTGAGCTCAAGCCCAATATTCAGCAATGTTCATCCACACCTATCAAAAATACTCTTGAGAGATTCTTGCATTGGAGGAGAGGCGAAACCAAATAACCTCTTTTTAATGTTGCTGTTAACTCCAAGACTCTAGAAATTCAGGATTCTATCTCAGGACAATGTTTGTTAAGTATGGCTAAAAGAAAGCTCATCTAAGAAACATCAAAAGGGACAACCTTATATTTCATTTGTGGGAATATGCAGATTCAAATTCCCTTCCCTCACTTCAGTACAACCTCCTCTTGTGTGACATCTATGTTAACTGCATTGTAATAATTATGATTTTTCTACAATGTGGTGCTTAATGAGGAAGTGAAATTGACAAACGTTCAGACAAGATTTAATCCAATTATCCAACATCTTGATCCAGATTTCAAACTAAAGGAAAAACCAACTGTTCAATTGTGAATGAAAATTTATTTGCCATAAAAGATGGGAGTTGTGGGGGGGAAGTAGGGAACAGTTGTCCAGAGAATTCTTGCAATTCTTCACATTAATGGATTGAAGCTTCTGACATGTGCAGCAGGGAAAATGAATTAAATCTAAGGCAAGGAAAGTCAACCAAATACTGATTGCTTGGGGACAGGGTGTTTGCAGGATGGGATGCAGGGTGGCAATATGAGAATCTTTCTAAGCTTGAGAGGTGAGTGGCTTTCATTAGATTTGTTATCTGGGGTTCCCAAACATCTCTTCAACATCCAGTATGAAGAAAGCAGTGTGCCAGACAGAGTGAAGCTTCATGGATGACTTAGACATGTGCATGCCTGCTTGGAACTCAGTCTAAAGAAGGAGAGAGATGTTCACAGCTAGCTGGGGAGTGCTGGGCCTCATAAGGTGCTCATTATAAAAACTCTAGAAACAGCAAGTAATGGAAGAAGAACATGAGGCTGAGTATTAATTCCAACTAAGCTAAGGGTGAGGAGATGGAGGGCTGTGCATTTCCTTTCATCATAAAGGCAGTAGGTTTTAGTAGAAATTGTTTGGGCCCCTGACTCAGAACAAGCTGGGGTTCAAATTCTGGCTCTGCCAAGTACTAGAGCTTTGTGATTTGGGTGAGGTTTATGACATCTTTAAACACCAGTTTCTTTATATGTAAATCACGTCTACCTGCTAGGGTTGTGATTACTGGGGGCGGGGGGGCGGGGGGAAGCTGAATCAAGAGCCGAGGCTGTCCACAGCATACAGCAGATGCTCAATAAAGTCTAGCTACTTTTTCTACAGCAAAATCAACCTTATATTCTTAGTACATATGGTTAGTGGCTTGGCATTATACAACAAAGAAAGAAACTGAGTCAAAGGCTGGGATGTCATATCTGATCATCAGAATTTTTATCATTTTCTCCCAGGATATCTCCTTTTCAGGGCACACCAGATAGTTCTGTAGCCCTGATTTCAAGCTCTCAGAAAGAAACTAAGGAGAAACAGATTTTCTGGACACATACTCTGTGTCTGATGCTTGTTCAGTGAGGCAACTGGATTATAATACTTGAGAAAGTTCTTTGCATCCAAAGCACCAAGTTCAGAAGGCAACACCATAACTCACTTCTGTGCATTTCAGAGTGAGCTACTATAATGTCAAGTTATTAACGGTGAAGACAGGAATGGGGCCACTGGGGTACCTGACATGGTAGCTGAGATACTGGGAGCAAGATATTGAGATAAATACTGGCCTATATAATGAACATGGTGACAAATGGAATTGGAGAGTAGATGAATAATTCTAATGTCCACTAGGGCAATCCCCTTCACGATATAGGAATACCTTATAGAACCATTGATCCATTGCTTGAATACTCTTAGTGGCAGAGAGCTCACTACTCGATAAGGTTGTCCTTTCCCCTGAAAATCAGCTCAGATTATCTGAAATGTTTTTCTTATATTTAGCCCAGATGTTCACTCTCTCATTATACTACCGTGCTCTTCCCCTTAATCATGAAACAGCCTGTAAAATAACTGGAGGCAACTAACACATATCATCCCTAGGTCTTCTCTTCCTCAGGGTTTTATAAAAGCACCTTCCCATCTTCTTTGCAGAAACTGCTTTCACACATATTACCTGTGAGTCTCACAGGGCCCTGAGATGTCAGTAGCGGATGGCCGCTATTCCCATTTTGCAGATAAGGATAATGAATCTCAGAAAGTTGAAGTGATCAACAAAGATCATACCCAAAGTGAGGAAAGAATCTTGGCGGGGGGTCTGATCATTCCTTTCAATTTCGGAATCCATGTTTCATCAAAACGAAAATTTTTTAAAAAACAGAGACAGGGTCTTGCTTTGTCACCCAGGCTGGAGTGCAATTGTGCAATCATAGCTCACTGCAGCCTCAAACTCCTGGGCTCAAGTGATCATCCTGCCTCAGGCCCCCGAGTAGCTAGGACTACAGGCATGTATTACCATGCCCGGCTAATTGTTTTATTTTTTGTAGAGATGGGGTATTGCTATGTTGCCCAGGTTGGTCTTGAACTCCTGGCCCCAAGAGATCCTCCCACCTCCACCTCCACCTCCCAAAACACTGGGATTATATGTGTGAGCCACCAAGCCTGGCTGTCATTAAAAGGAAATTAATGTCAAATCCAACTGATCAATTCGACAATCTCTGTCTTTCCTATTTACTACTATGCCAACCATCTAAGAATCTCTCTCTCTCTCTCTCTATATGTATATATATATATATATATATATTTTTTTTTTTTTTTTTGAGACGGAGTCTCACTCTATCGCCCAGGCTGGAGTGCAGTGGCATGATCTCGGCTCACTGAAACCTCCGCTTCCTGGGTTTAAGCAATTCTCCTGCCTCAGACTCCTGAGTAGCTGGGACTACAGAAGTGTGCCACCACACCTGGCTAATTTTTGTATTTTTGTAGAGACAGGGTTTCACCATGTTGGCCAGGTTGGTCTTGAACTCCTGACCTCAGGTGATCCACCCACCTTGGCTTCCCAAAGTGTTGGGATTACAGGCATGAGCCACCGCGCCCGGCCTAAGAAAGTCTTTTGAAGGCCAAAAGAATTTCTGCTAGAATTCACTGACTGGTTATTACTGATAATTAGAAAGTCTTTTATGCCTAATACAACTATATAAAAGGCTTTGAAACTGAAAAATTACAAGGAGAAGGATAAAAGATCTTTTTCAGCCATAAGAATATTACATGGGGGAATGAAGAGAGGGGAAAAGAAAAGTGCTAAGTATTTCTCACATGAAAATGACATAAGTTGCACTAAGGTTAAAGTCTGTGTCATTAAAACAGTTGTCTGTGAAGGTTAAGTTCCACCAAGTTCAGTGTTATAAGGTGTGATAGAGTCTGAAATAGGCACTTGAGTGGCCCTGTGAATGCAATGCTCTGCTTGCATTCCCACTGTGGGACCTGAGTCATGTTCAATGGTTAACAGGGTGCAAAAAGCACTAAATAATGAATGCAGTAATGGGACGCTTAGCAGACACCTTCCTCTCCACTCAGGAATGTGCTTTTTTTTTTTTTTTTTTTTTTTTTGAGATGGGGTCTCGCTCTGTCACCCAGGCTGGAGTGCAGTGGTGCAATTTCCGCTCGCTGCAAGCTCCACCTCCCGGGTTCACGCCATTCTCCTGCCTCAGCCTCCCGAGTAGCTGGGACTGCAGGTACCCGCCACCACGCCCGGCTAATTTTTTTGTATTTTTAGTAGAGATGGTGTTTCACCGTGTTAGCCAGGATGGTCTCGATCTCCTGACTTCGTGATCCACCTACCTTGGCCTCCCAAAGGGCTGGGATTACAGGCGTGTGCCACGGCACCCGGCCAGGAATGTGCATTTTTAACAGTCACAAAAAAGTCAAGATATCTGCCTAAAGAACATGTCCAGCATTATCAGCCCGAAGAAACAAAGACTACGTGTATTTCCCAGCTCCCTGAGATGGAAATTGGTGATAAATTAATCAGCTCTGAGCACTGCTGAGTAGAGGAAGTATGGACTCAGCAGTCTCAGTGATCTGCCCAGAAGGTACTTACATTTCTCCTTTGCTTATTCAAATCTTACTCATCCTTCAAGGCTTTGCTCAATTAATTCCCTCCTTTCTGAAACCTCCGTGTCTCTCCAGCCAGTTAGCATTTCCTCTCAGCAAGCATTTATGCTGTTGGATTTCAGACACCCTGACATAAAAATGTACCTATGTGTTTACAGTCACAAGAGAAGTTAGTCCCTGTGCCAAGCTTCCAGCTGCCTTGACCAGAAAAGCAGATGAAATGTATATTTCTAGGAGTGGGTAGGATTAATCCTTATATTGGCTCACAATTCCTAGGAAAGGGTGCAGGAGAGAAGCATAGCATGACCTTGAGAACAAATCTGCTAGAAAGACAGAGACATCACAGGTCCAAATTAAAATACACAACGAAAAGCATCCAAATGTGTTATTTGAGAAAGAAGTCCAAGAAAGGGATGATAACCACAGCTGAGCATCCTGAATCAATAGGTCAAGAAGGGTTAAAACTAGGGCAAGAATGAGTAAATGAGAAAGAGGAAAGTAAAGAGATGGAACCAGCTTTCCATCTATACCTGGGCCCTAGCTCATCAAAACAAAACTGTGCACCCATCAGTTGATGCACTCAGGTGAAGGAGAGCAATAAGAAACAGAAAATTCTAACTTCTGCCCTAAGACTCTGGAACGCTCTGTAACCTCAAATTTGCCATGTTACTGATTTATCTCTGTTGATGGAAGAGTGATGATGAGCTGCTGACTGAGGCTCTAAGACAGAGGTTGAGGGATCCTGTTGGCTTTGAGTCCTACAAAAATTTATTCATGCATACATTTTTTTTTCCTGGGGAGAGGGTCCACCATCAATATCTCAAAGAGACTGGAAATCTCAAGAAGGCCTACCTTAGAAACAGTCTAGATAGAAGTGAATCCTGCCCTCTAGGATCTTACAAAGAAGTAGGGGGAAGAAACTGAATAATAGCCCACAGCTATTAAATTCTCATTGCACTGAGCTCATTCACATACTTTAGCTCATTTAGTCTTTACACATTTAGTCTTTACACAAAAACTCTAAGGCAGGCACTAACATTAATTCCATTTTACAGATGAGGACATGGAGAGTGGAGAGACTAACTTAAGTACTCAAATTCACAAAGCTAGAAAATGGTAAAGCTGGGAGTCAAATCCAAGTTGTTCTGATGCCAAAGCCCATATTTTGAACCATTAGAAAATACTGCTCCATGATTACCACAATAAAATGTGGTTAAGGCCAGGTGGAGTGGCTCATGCCTATAATCCCAGTGCTTTGGGAGACCAAGGTGGGAGGATTGCTTCGGGCCAGGAATTCAAGACCACAGTGGGTAACATAGCAAGTCCTCATCTTTAAAAAAAAAAAAAAAAAAAAAAATTGCCAGGCATGGTGGTGCACGCCTGTAGTCCTAGCTACTGGGTAAGCTGAGGCAGGAGGAGCATTTGAGCACAGGAGTTTAAGGATACAGTGAGCTATGACTGCAACACTGCACTTCAGCCTTGGTGACAGAGTAAGAGCCTGTCTCAAAAAAAAAAAAAAAAGAAAAAAAAGAAAAGAAAAGAAAACAAATTTCAAATTTGTGGTTAGAAGTTCAGCAGAAGTGGGCTTGGCATGGTGGCTCACACCTGTAATCCCAGCACTTTGGGAGACTGAGGCAGGTGGATCACCTGAGGTTAGGAGTTTGAGACCAGACTGGCTAACATGGTGAAACCCATCTCTACTAAAAATACTAAAATTAGCCAGGCGTAGTGGTGCACGCCTGCAATCCCAGTTACTTGGGAGGCTGAGGTGGGAGAATCGCTTGAACCCAGGAAGCGGAGGCTGTAATGAATCAAGATCATGCCACTGCACTTTAGCCTGGGCAACAGAGCGAGACTCTGTCTCAAAGGAAAAAAAAAAAGTTCGGTAGAAATACATTCGAAAAAGCAATTTCCCTAGGGACTCAAGGAAAGCTGAAGACAGAAAATAACATTTTAACTGGATCTTGAATGTTGAATGAAGAAAAAGTTCAGCAAGAGTACTGGAGTGGAAGAAAAGGATGAACAGAGGCTCATGGTGAGAGAAAGGAGGGGTTCCTGAGGATCTGAGATCACTAAGGCTGTTCTTAGTGAAAAGATTCAAGGGATGAGGGTCATGAAATTGCGAGGCCAGGTTACTAAATGGGCTGTCCACTGGAACGATGAATCTCCCCAGATAATGGCCAAAAGTAGAGAAGGCAACAAAAAACAAAATAATGGGGTCACAGAAGAAAGTGTATTTTATATTTCAACAGTTGATTATCGTTCATTCAGTTCAGTAGTGATTTCATATACAGACTGAGGATAGTGCATAGAACCCCTCTTTTTGCCTGTCTCTCTTATATATTATATTGTTATATAAAATTTTAATTTTTAAAAAGAAAGTCTGTAGCCAAATGTAGTTTGAGAAATGGACTATGTAACTACCATCTCTAATTGCATATTATCTGAGACAAGGCAAGGGATGTAACTGATACACTCTTAAAATCCAAAAATTTTAGCGGTTTTCAGACAAGTATCTGGCAAATTCACTGGGCCCAAATCCTTTCTCCAGCCTTCTGTGACATGCAAATAGTTACAGGGGTTTTGGGGTAGAAGGACTACACTGATTCTTTTTTTTTTTTTTTTGGAGACAGAGTCTCGTTCTGTTGCCCAGGCTGGAGTGCAGTGGCATGATCTCGGCTCACTGCAAGCTCTGCCTCCCGGGTTCACACCATTCTCCTGCCTCAGCCTCCCAAGCAGCTGGGACTACAGGTGCCTGCCACCATGCCTGGCTAATTTTTTTGTATTTTTAGTAGAGACGGGGTTTCACTGTATTAGCCAGGATGGTCTCGATCTCCTGACCTCCTGATCCGCCCGCCTTGGCCTCCCAAAGTGCTGGGATTACAGGCATGAGCCACCGCGCCCGGCCTACTGATTCTTAATTCTATCAGATTGTGTCCCTAATATTCTGTAAGTTACAGGCCCCTCTTCAGAAAAATTAAAGAGTTTTAATGACTTTAAACACTTTCCACAGGGCCCCAGGAGGAAAAATCCAACCCTAGGTAGGATGAAAAAACAAAAATCAAAAATAACCCTGCCAAGGAAGCAAGATGTTTTGGCTTTGCCTGATGCTGAGTTCCTGATGTAGGAGGGGAGTGAATGCAGGTGCGTGAGTGTGTGGGTTTGTGTTTAGAAGGCCACCTGTCCGCCTGGTGATCCAAGCTATGAAGAAAAAACAACACATATTTATGGAGGCTGCAGGTGGAACAGGGAAAGAATGGTTAAACACAAAGTGGAAGAAGGGCCAGGCAAGAGGGCTTCTTTGAGAACCAACACTGTCTTAGTTTGACACGGCGTCTTTGGCCCCAGAAGGAAAAAGAACTTAATGGACAATAGATGAGCTTTGAGTCTATAGGCATTCATTTGTTCATTCATTCCTCACACAGGGATTCATTTGTTCATTTATTTTTATTCATTCATTTACCACTTGAGCAGCTACTCTGTGTCGATGCTTACTGTAATGAGGACATGAATATGATATGATTCCTGTCCTCAACGGACTTACAAAGCAAGGAGGTATGGAGTAAAAGTGACAACTCCTGGTGAGTAGTTCAGTGCAACAAAACATTTAGTAAGTGTCTATTAATTGCTAATGTACACTGAGTGATCACTGTTATTAATCTAAACTCTCAGAACTCAGTGAATTTGGTTTTCACATCACCATTACATAGCTGAGAAGACCAAAGACCGAATAGAGCAAAGGGCTCACTCAAGGTCACATAGCCAGTAATGAAGCCAGGATTCAAACCCCGGTATCTCTCATAGCTTAGGTTACTACCACAGTCCTCAGCGGGAACTATATTTCAGGCACTATGCTAGGTGCTGAAATTGCAAAGCCGCGTGAGATGTGATCTCTGCCAAGGTTTTTGAGGAACTCAAAGTCCAATGGTTCACATGAATATGTTAAGAGAAAATGACAATCCATTAGGATCAGTGCAAAGAGAAGTATTAGAGGTAGCCCAGAGAGACTGAGTACTCTATTTGGGGTAAGGAAGGCTTTCCAGAGAGGGTGTGTAATCCCCTAGAATAGTTGCCAATCCCTGGCTCAGTGAGGAGTGTTTGCTAGAGCACTGCCTGAAATAGCAACATGTGGATATGTTCTCATGTTATCTAATTCACATCTTCTGTTAAGGGTTTTGTATAAGTGTCTCCTTCAATCCTCCAAACAAAGCAAAGGTAGTATTATTTTCTTTTGGTAGATAATAACATAGAGGATCAGAGATGCAAAAAGCTGCTCAGGGACTCTCAGGAAGTGGCTGTGGTAAGAACTACACCCAGATCTCACTCTGAAGACCAGGCTCTGTGCAGACCTAAACCTGAGAAAAATGAAACCAGGTGGAACCTAGAGTAACAGGCCACTGGGCAGTTTCTCTTCTTATGGGAAATTTGTGGAAGTCTTACGACTTTCTGGAAGCTGCTTAACATACACTAATTGAGTTATCCTTGTATTTGTCTTTCTGGCTAAGGGAAAGGTGGCGAAGGAGCAAACAGTGAGAGGCAAGGATTTTCAGAGTACAGAGGTACTCTAGGGAGTGTGCATTCATCAGAGAGGCAGGTCTACTAGGGGAATCCTGGAAGGCAGGAAGATCTCAGAGCAGGGAGGGGTGTGTGGTATTCGGTATTACCTCCGAGAGGCTTGGGCAAGTGGGATCAACTTTCCAATACATAAACTACTCTGACCTCTAATTATGTTCAATCATCTTTTTTGGTAGATAAGAACACTGAGTCTCTGAGGCAAGGAAATATATCGAAATTCTCATAGGTAGGAAGAGGAGCTCAGATTCCAACTGCAGCCACCTGTCTCTATACCACAGCCTGAGGTTTTTACTTCTTACCTCTCTTAGGCTTTTGAAAATGTTGAAAATAGCTCATGGAAAAGTCATCATTACCATCAGTTGGTTCTAGGACTCTGAGAGAACAGCGGGTTGGGAGCCACTGCATGCCATTCAGGCAGCCCAGATATTTTGCAAGCAAAATTTCTAGTGCATTTCCTTAATGATTATTTTGGAGTCAGAAATATGGGGACTTTCTTAATTCTACCAGGGATTTTCACAAATTCCTTCTACAGATAGAGTCATTCATATATTTTTTATTTTATTTTATTTTATTTTATTTTATTTTATTTTATTTGAGACGGAGTTTGGCTCTGTCACCCAGGCTAGAGTGCAGTAGCGCCATCTCGGCTCACTGCAACCTCCGCCTCCAGGGTTCAAGCGATTTTCCTGCCTCAGCCTCCCGAGTAGCTGGGATTACAGGCATGCCTCACCATGCCCGGCTAATGTTTTGTATTTTTAGTAGAGACGGGGTTTCACCATGCTGGCCAGGCTGGTCTCGAACTCCTGACCTCATGATCTGCTCGCCTCGGCCTCCCAAAGTACTGGAATTACAGGCCTGAGCCACCGCCCCTGGCCTTCATATATTTATTAAATGTTCCTAAAGCAGCCGTGTTGTACCTGGCTTTCATATACCAGGCCATGGGCTTGCATCTGGTAATACGAGGACCCCAGGACATTCAAGGAAGTAATAGGGAAAAAGTGCTATTAGCAGAGGAATGACAGCACAAAGGCAGGAGTGATCTGCTGTTGCTGTTCAGAGCGAAAGTCCAGAAAGTCCCCCTGAGAACACAAAGCTTGAAGTAAAGTTGGAATGCTGGGGGAAGGCTGCAGAGAGAGTGGGGAGGGGTAAAACAAACAAACACAAAAAGATTTCAGTAGGGCTGGACCAGAAGGAGGTAGATTAGACACTAGGCTGGAGAGGGGACCTTCAGGCAGCCCACCTGTGTATCTCAGGCAAAGGAGCTTGGATTTTTTTTTTTTCTGGAGCTATTAAGCATGGAGATGGTGTGGCCAGAATCATTAATAAATTCACAAAAACCAAGGCAGCAAATGGAGCATGTTTCCTTACGTATCTAAACCTGTTAGGGGCAAGTGTGGCAATTCAGGCACAAACTGAATTGTAGAGAATGGTGTCATGGGGGCTGGACCAGTTGAAACACGAAGAGCAGACCAATGTTTCAGTGACAAGGGGGCCTGATGAGGTGCAAAGGCCTCAGGGAGAAAAACTGCTGTTTCCCTGAACAGTACAACACAGAATAGGGTCCCTAGACTTGGGTTTTTGAAAACGGGCCTGCATCTGGATATGCTTTTTCATTAAAACTAACACGCATAGGTTTCAGAAGCCATATTTAGATGGGGGGGGGGGGTGGTTTCAAGATCCTGGAAGAGTGGGTTATAGAAATGGACATTGATCAGAAAGAAGTTTCACTAAACGAAAAGGGAGAAGGGGGCAGGCAAGGATGAGAATCTACCAGAAAGACTCCCAACTTGGAGAATACAGAGTCTTAGGTTTGGAAGGGACATCCAGAGCTCTCCTGTCCATCTCCCTATGCAATTTGTGAATCGCCCTGGTAATCTTTCTGACAAGTGGTCTGCAAGTCTTGTTTGCATAGCTCCAAGAATGGTGAGCTCACTGTCTGAGGTGCCAGCTGGTCTAGCTATGAGCAGCTCTGACTGTGGGAAGGTCAGCCTCACTTTGAGCTGGAATTGACTTTCTTATAGTGCCACCCACTGGTCTCAGTTCCAGGACTTGGCTGACACAGAACAAGGTAATCCCTTTTCCATACAGTGGCCTTTGGAGTCCCATTTCATATCTATGTATTCTTTTATCCAGGCCAAACATTTCTGTGTCCTTCAGCTGCTCCTCATGGGATGGAGTTTCACATCCCCTTGTTAATCTTATCGTGAAACATGCAGATGTGCCTTTATGTCTCTCACAGTGTGGGGTCCAGAACAGACAACAGTGTTCCAGGTAGAACGATTTTAGCCTCACAACAGCTGTCAGGGACAGAGCTGACATTGTTGAGGGTCTACCTGACTTTAAAGCACCTTCTCTGTCCACACATTGTTGAGATGAATGAGGTCAATAGTGACTGAACACGCTAGTTCCTTGGCTGTGGCAAAGTCACATGTGCCCCCTGCTCAAGAGCCTTCACTGGCTCCCGAGAGCTGCCTGAATTATGTATAGAGGTTGCCTTCTGCATGCCAGTTGTAGGTCCTAAATATGAGTTCCGGGCACTTCAGTGGTTTGGAGCAGTACCACACAGCTGGGAATTTTTGGTTCTGTCCCAGATTCCCAGGAGTCCCACCGGCACATGGGGTCCAGATCCACTGGACCTTGTTGTCCTTAATGTGGTATGCCTCTTGGGTTCTCCACAAGCCCATTGCATATGACCTTTTCCAAAATTTTCACGCTTTGGCTGAACTTTTGTATACCCCAAAGGCCCTGGCCAGCCTCTCCTACTGTCCCTTTGAAACTTCTCAACCACTTTCAAATTAGATGGGCAGCTCTCTTTCCACAACAGAAACACTATCCTCCACTTGAGCAGGTCACTGAGCTCTGAGCTTCACTACTATCAGCTCTGCCTCTTACTCAGGTTATTCTGAGGATGGAGTGAGAAAATGGATATTGGATACACAACACTATTAGATACCATAATACTGTAATGTGTTAGAAGAATTACTTCTTCTAAACCATGGCTGGAGACTTTTGCCCTAGAACACCTATGACCTTGAGGCCCTTAAACAGAGTAGTTCACGTGATTCAACTCACTCCCACTCATGGGACCAGACCTTCATCCAGATTGGCAACTTTTCCTCAGTGCTACCATTTCTGCCTCATGTCTCCTTCCTCTGGCCCACTGAAGATGCCCCAGCATGCAGTCCCCAGCAGAAACATGTGGGGCCATGACACTCATTCCAGGAGAAGGGTTTCCTTCCGCAGGCTGTAGACAGCCTCAGTGTGAATCCAGGTCACGGAAACCTGGCAGTGGAGAGGAGATGTACTTACACTTACAGGTTGACTTTTTGGCACATCATAAACACCTTCCTTCTTTTGGCTGGTGGGAACCTATGGAAAAATTAAATTCAGCACAGTCAAAACACTCTGGTACTCCAATTTCAAAGAACAAAGCAACCAGACTTCAACTGCAAGCTGGCTAAGGGTGCCTGAGAATGGCCCCAGGGACAAGCCCATGGGAACCTGCTCTAATTGTGAAAGTATCAAGCCAGGCTCCCTCCCTTAGGAGCATCAGATGGGGACAGGGAGTGGGCATCATTTAACAAAGGTTTATAGGTCGTCTCTGCCATTGGGCTTCTCGCAGAATCAAAGACTAGAAACTTACATAGACTTCAGAAGTCATGCGGTAAAAAAAAAAAATCCTCATTTCCTTAGACAAAAATGAGGCGTAGGGAGGTGCTATACTGTTCCTGAAGTGATTAAAAACAGTTTGCAGCTGAGCTTAAACTGTTCAATGCTGAGGCTGAGATCTGGGCTATTTAAAATATAGCAAATATCAAGATCCTAGCACAAAGCACAGCTTCTACTGGGATCAGATACAAGCCATTTGATAATTATGGAAGGTTTTCATTGAAGAAAAAGGCCCACGAGTGGTATGGAAAGTGTGGGCCTAGTACGCAGAAGATCTTGAGGGCGTTTAACATTAATCTGCATCTTCCTCCCTTCCCTTACTCATCCATCTGGTCTCACTGTTATGAGCTAACTGTGACAGGCTGAGCAGGTCACTGAGCTCTGAGCTTCACTACTATCAGCTCTGCCTCTTACTCAGGTTATTCTGAGGATGGAGTAAGAAAATGGATATTAGATACACAACACTATTACATACCATAATACTGTAATGTGTTAGAAGAATTACTTTAGTTACTGACACATCATTTAAATATATACGAACACATCTTATGATACTAACGATAGTGGATATGTTGACTACTTTTCAAATGAGTCAACCAAGGGTTTTCACTGAAAGATTCCAGATTGGAAGCACCCATTAGTTGTTCCTTTCCCAGGAACTGTCACAGCTTAGCTCACACCCCCATTGCAGGACCCAGCCAGCAGTGGTTTTATAATGGTCTGACAACATGCCTTTCTTTCCATCATATTGGGAGCTCCTCAAGAGCAGGCATAGTGCCTAACACCCAGTAGGCTCTCAGTAAATGTCTGCTGAGACATATGGTAAACGTATGATAGAGGAATGTGGGGAATAGTGAAGGAAAAGTATCTTTTGGGCTTGAGCTAGCTAACTACACCATTGTTCTATAAGAAGTAAGAATTTGAGCTTATTCCTTAGGTCCTTTGACATTTTTCATCTCATTTAACTTAAAATCTTTGCAATAACTCTAAGAAATTGGTAGTATCATCTCTACTTTAAATAGGAGAAAGTGACGCTCAGAGATGTTAGGGACTTTGCCCAAATCGTCAAAGCTGGTAAGTGACCAGGTTCAAACCCAGCTCTTTCTGGTGGCCAAACAAGACATCTATTATTAATAATGTGAGCTAACATGGACTGGGTGCTTCCTATGTGCCAGGCGCTGTTCTAAACATTTGTGTCTTACATACATTCTCATGCAATCCTCAAGACAAGTCTTTCAGGTAAGAACTCAGTTGGCCCCATGTTGCAGAGGAGAAAAATATCTCTGGCAGTAGAGATATTTGCCCTAGAACACCTGTGACCTTGAGGCCCTTGGACAGAGTAGTTTGTGTGATTCAACTCACTCCATGAGTGCAGTCTGTGAATGGGGAAGCCAAAAGCTTGAGCCCAGGGAGTTTGCCATTTGACTGCTATACTATTCAGACAGTTGTTTCAAGTGGGCCTTTTCTTTGACATCACATCCTATGTTCCCAGAAGCTCATCTACACTCTTGCAGAAAACAGGACTGAGTGAGCATGGCCGTGTCAGTGGTACACTTCCAGAGCTGATCTTGCAAGCTTCACTGTGCAAGTAGCCAGTGAAGAATGTCGTTTCTTTGCTCCTGATAACTGAGCTCCATCTAAAAGAAATCCTCTAAGAATGCCTACAGAGTCCTTGTTAATGAGGGCCAATAAATTACCAGCCCTCACTTTTGTTTTTACTAGCTCAACCTTTACTGAGAAAAATGAAGAACATTCTGTTGCCCGTAATTCACTGCTCACTACGGGCACTTAGCACAGTTGAACCGCAGCTGCCTCTCAATTATCCCTAAAAATGGAGAAAAAGCAGTGGAATGGATAAACTCAAACTGTGCATAATTGAAAACGCTTTTCTACTTGGCTCTCCCATGGGTGAGATATCAATCTGCCTGTTTGTCCTTTAAGATTTATCTCAGCTGGGATATCTTCTTGGAAGCCTCACTTGATTCTCTAGGCCTTGTTTGGAGCCTTCCCCTGTATTCTGGTAACCTCTGGTGCATTCTTTCATTAAAAAATAAAAATTGCTAAGCACGTATTATGTGTCATGCATCACGCGTTCCCTGGGACAGTGATGGTGAACATGATGGATATGGCCCCTGATTTAACAGAGCTCCTTGTCTTATTGGGGGAGATGGAAAAGTAATCAGACTACTGAAATAGAGTGTAAAGTGTGCTTTATCTTATCATGAGAATTATTGCATCACATTGTAACTGTTCCAGGGTCTATAAGCTTGCTGAGGGCAGGTTGGGGTATTTTATTATCCTTGTATCCACAGCTATAAATATTGGTGAAACAAAGAAATGCCTAATCGCCAAGCATTCAGCCCATGAGTGCTAAGGTGCATGGTCCTGGCTCTCATCTCTGCTTAGCTGTACCATTCTGTTTACACAAAAGGCTTCAGTAACACAATGTTTTAGAGACATAAAAGTTTCAGACCAAAAGGAACCAGAAGACTGGTAGTTCCAAATCCTGGGTCTGCCACAGGCTGCGACTCAGACAGTCGCTTTGCTCTCTGAACTTCAGTTGCCCCATCTGCCCATTGTGAGCATCTAAGGGGGCTATACATAAATTTCTGAGGGTGAGGGCTGTGCCATGGTCACCATCTCATCCCCGTGCCAGACGCATGTGATTTCCCAGTGTCCAGTCATTTATTTGTTCTATAAATAATCTTTTTTTTGTGTGTAAGTGAATAGATGTTAAATTACTCTAAAAACAGCACATTCCGTACTATACATACAGAAGACACTTTTACTTTTATTTTGGCAGCATGTTAATTAATAGTGTGGAGAGGCAGTTCCAGGCTTTGTTGGGTAACATTTCCTGGAGACTCATCATTTAAAAATAACGATACTTGACAAGGATTGGATGGTTAACAGTAGTTTTTGAATGAATGAACTTGGAAAATGACCATGTGGAAAGCTGAAATCTTGCTTATATAGGAAGCCTGTTCAGGCATTGAAGAACACTAGATTTAGAATCAGAGGTTCTGACCTTGTATTCAGCACCTCAATTGGGGGAACTTGATTTTCTTATGTTCAAAATGATAGTCATTGTAGCTGTTTTTCCTATGTCACCATTATTGGAAGGATCAAAATTAAGTGATGTGTAAAAATGTTTTGTATTGGGAGGCTGATAACTTCAACACAGCCGATAACTTTTTCTGAGGCATGCAAAGCAAAAGGCAATTATTATTATTAATATAGCTGGGAAAACAAGACTATTAGAAAAACCTCGAAAAAAGAGGTTACATTTACTCAAAAGCCTCTGTATCCCTTTTGTTGGAGTTATAAATAGGAAAGTGAAGCACGCTTGAGGATTTCTGCTAGGCTCTCCAACAACATGTGGTGAGCAAGTTATGTTCTATTTCACTTAAAACATGATCATAAGACATCTTCAACAGCATCTGAAACTGACAACACGCAAGGAAGGAGGGGAAACTCACGTTTACACAGAACCTACTATGAACCAACTGCTCTCCTCCTCGTTTTACGTTTTCACATCACTGCTAGGAGCAGAGAATATATTATCCCCATTTCATAGCCCAGGAAATTGAGATACAAAAATTATGTTCTCCACTTAAGTTCACAAAAGAGTTAAAGGTCTCCAGGACTGTCTGCCTCACTGCAGAAAGCAAGGAGGTGAATAAAAGCTGAGACCACTGGCTGGGCCAAGCTGAAGTACTAACAAACACTGCAATTCAGGAGAAATAGCTATGGAACACTTACAAGCCCTTAAAAAAAAAATGAGGCGCCTAATAGCAGCCCCTTAAAAGCCCAGCCTTATCTTCAGGCCCAAGAGCTTATCTCTTATTAAGTAAATTGAGCCCCAGCAGACTGGCAGAGCAGGAGAAGAGAATGACCAAAGGCCTTTCCAATAGAAGGAGATAAAATACTCATTCCCTTAAATGGTAGCTTCCTGTTAATGATGGACAGATGGGAAGATCTAGAGGTCAGAGCTGTTAAAACAAGTGTGATTTTTAGATAGTGACTTGAAAGGGACTTAGAATCGAATTGTGAAACTCAGAATCAGGGGATTCTGAGCTGAGAGCAGCCTTAGGATTTATTTCTTTATTTACAGAGGTCAGAGGGACCTGCAGTGGGGGCTCTACCTATTGCTAGCTCTGGGACCCTGGGCAAGTTACCTTATCACTGTGAGCCTCACTTTCCTTATCTGTAAGGTGGGAATAATGATTCAAGCCACATGGGGTTGTTGTGAGAGATAAGATATTGCACTTAAACCCCATTAACAGAGTTGGCTCACCATCAGCGCATGTGCACACGCAAATTTTCCCACCTCCACCATTTCTGAGTCTTATTATCCTGTAAAACAAGCTAACCTGCTTCTCTAAAAAAATCAAAGTCCTATGGTAAAGTGGTAATTGCAAAAAACAGAAAAGGGTCTTGCCTGAGAGAGCCCTGTATTTTACTTGCTCATTTTACAGATGAGTAAACTGAAGCCCAGAGGAAAAAAAAATACTTGACAGTTAAATTAATGGCTGAGTTGATACTTGTACTAAAATACTGAATCCACACAGCCAGACTCCACATTTTGTGACCCATGATGACACCTCTTCTTTCCATTCTACACATGAGCTTGTGAGTTAGGGAACAATTGTTCGCTTATTTTATCAAGGGAGAAACTGACTCTGAGAAGGTAAGTGCCTTGCCCACTACCACTTAGCCAAAGGTAGTTGGTAAGAGAGCCTGGACTACAACCCAGCTTTCCACCAGCTAAAGCAGGTCTTTCCAGTACACTAGGATGTCTCCCTCCCCACCCCGCCCCCACTGCAATCCTACAAGGCTCAATGGGAGCCCTGCCAACTATAGCTAAGTCTGGATTCAGAAACCTGTAATACTGCAAAGCTTCCTTTTATTTAAAAGGGGCCCTCTCTTCTTAGGATGATTGGTTAATGGTTTTTTCCTCCTCATATTCAGATACTGTAAGGTTGTATATACTTTAAAATCTGACACTCAGGACAAACGCAACTTTTCTTATTAAAGATACTTGGTAAGCCACAACTTTGAAAAAAGTCTCAAAGCACAACCTCACATTTGAATGGAATCCAGATAGATCCAGTGGAGAGAAAATATTATTCAACAAGGCTGACAACTTTAAACAAAGTTGTTGGTAGAACTAACATTATATTTTAGTCATTTAGAATTCTATGCATTTGACAGAAATTGAAAATATGTTTTACTTTTATTACACAAGTAATACACACCCAAGGCAGAATAGGCCACACAACTAACAAAATTAAAATCACTTATTAAATACATCAAATTTTTTTTCTTCCCCTATAATGTTTCTATTTCAAATTGGGACTACAATACTAATGAGTGAAAAGTTGCAGGTCATCATATCTATTTGATGTGCTGCTATACGGCAGTTACACAGACACTTTGGTGGAAGACCATGGCAGAAGGAGGCAGAGCTTCGCCTTCACACCCATGCCTGGGTTTGAATCTTGGCTCTAAATAGTTGTACAACCCCGAGAAAGCTACTCGGCTTCTCTCTCTGAGTCTCACCCTATAAAAACAGAATTAAAATATCTAGTTTATAACATCTTCATGAGAATTCAGTGAGTTTAAAAAGTTCAGTTTTCTTTGCACAATTAAAATAAGGGTAAAGCCTTTAGCTGTACTTTCATTCAGTTAATATTCTCAATGTTGTTTTCACACATCATTTGAAATTAAATTTGTGCTTTATTTTCAGTAGCGGAGTTGGCTTTTTAAGAAATTTGATAAGCACATTCTTTTGAGAAATAAAGGACCCTAATTGTATAATGGACACCAGCTCTCCAATGTATTACTTTAGTAAAATGGAACATTTTATTTTTGTTTCTACTTAAAATAGTTAAGATCCATTCAAAAGTAAAACACTGTACCTAACTAGCTATTAAACATCAACAACAAGGCATGAAAACTACTGGTAAATTGCTGGGGAACTAGAAGCCATTTCACTCAAAGGTATTTTAACAAGCCAGGAATGACCAACAGAACCCTTGGTTCTTTAGACTATCAGTACATTTATGCATGTACTAGTAGTGGTGCAATGGTAAGAGAGGCAAGCAATTTTATACCTGATAAATGTTTTCTTCCGTTTCGGGATCACGGATTGGCTCGTGTCCAGCCTCAAACACAATGTACTATTACAGGAGCAGCCAGAAAGGAAAGGTCAGAGGTGAAAAAGAAGAAAGGTAAAACAAGCATTTGGAAATTAAGATACAAATCACAGCGAGCATTAACGAAGCAGGCACAAGAGAAAACACCTTAAAGACACAACTAAATTATTGAAATAAAATGTACCTTGTACATTCCTGCCTTTCATAAGGAAAACTGCAGAGGTCTGCTGGTCAGTATTTCAGCAGTGATTGCATCGAGCCTCTGCAGATCTTTCTGGAGATATAACCTCTTCATTCAATGGCAATTTGTCTCAGTAATACCTGAATACATTGGTATTGCTCAGTGAGAATGCTATCTCACTGGAATGCCTGGGATCCCAAACTTTGTAATGTATGGGTTACAGTTGAGGGGCATCCCTTTTTCCCTAAGGTTCAAAATCCTAAACAAACTCTGAAGAGCTCAGAAGCCCCAAACTCCTTTATCCCATAAATATCACCTTATTTTGCGTTCTCACTTTTAAATACATTAAATCGATTTTTCCAAGTTCATGTTTTGGGACTGTGACATTTCAAAAAGGCTATTATTCTTCATTCTGTGCAAGCCAGTGAGCAAGGGGGTGAAGCTCATATTATATACAAATCCTCGGCCCTCAGCATTCTAAAGCAAGAGCACGTCATTACGTGCATCTTTGGCTTTTGTTTGCCGTATACATGAGATATTTTTCCACTTCAAGTCATCTACATTATTTTACTTTCATTGTAGCAGTACCAGATTTTTGTGTGAAACTAAGCATTTATATAAAATACATATGTGACACACACACACATGCACACACAAAGAACACCTATGCATCCAGTTAGAAGTGTAAGTTCAAGATTTTCCTTTGTGTTCAATAAGTCATTTTTTGGGCTTCTTTTTCACCTTGGGAATAAGCACAGGGGAGGGAGAGGCTGTCTTTTCCCTTTTTTTCTGCATCTCTGTTTGAACAGACCACATGCTTGACCTCAAGAGAGATCATCTCCCTACCCACCACTGAGCTGCAGATCTTGAAGAGAGTCCAGAGAAAGCTAGGGGCAGAAGTGTCTTTAGGGTCACTCTTTCCTTCCTCCCAACAGCTCCTATGGCATGAGCCAGGTAATTGGAGGGTCAGCTTGCCCCATCGGGGGTCAGAGAGTCCTCCTCATAGCCTTTCTAAAGCTTAGAAACCATCCTTTGGGTCTGTGCTAAAATGCTACCAAAATGTCAGCCCCCACCTCTGGTTCTTAACTCAGAGAAGCCACCTCATTATTCATATTCTCTCTAATGAACTCAGAATATTCAAGAGACTCTTGAAAACATTCAGCTCTGGGATCAAACTTTTACAGACTGTGAAGGGGGCCGAGGCAGAGGCAAGAAGGGAGAAGCGGATCTCCAAATCCCAAGATACCGATGCCGGCCAAACTTCTGTTAGTTTTTATGGAAATTTGCTCCTGGAGGGGCTGGCAGCCCTCACCCTCAGAAATAATCTTGGTCTCTCTCCAGGTTTTGCAGTCAGTGGATTCTTCAGGTTTCTGACAAAATGGCTCTGGCACAGGTCTAGTCACTCTTGAATCTAAAACCCCGACTAGTTTCAGAAATTACCTGGTACACAGGATCTTCAACATCCTCTTCCAATATTGTCTATTGCAGAGTAAGGAGAGGGAGGGTGAAAAGCAGAGGACATAAAGGAAGAGATGTGAGACTGCATTCAGAAATTACAGGACAGTAAAGAAACCAGCTCTGGGCAGAAGAGGCTGGTGGGCCATCAAGGTAGAAAAAACACAAAAAAGTCAAAATCCTTAGAGCCACTCCCACCTCCACCCGCACTGTTAACAACAGCAAAAGCAATTGTGTTTCTTGGGTCCTCCACCCCTGAAATCTTTCTCTGGATTCGAGATTTCACTTCATCTAACATGTCTAGAGTTTAAGAGAATAAGGAATAATTTCTAATGGCTTGCTTTGGGTCCTGTAATTTACACAGGAATCTTTCATCTTCGTTTATTTCTACTTGGCAGCAGGAAGAGAAGGCCTGACTGTCAGTTTTTACATGTGTTTATTTGAAGGCCCGATCTCCAGCGCAAGGATAAATTCACAGGTATACCTGGTACACAGCTTGTTCACACTGCTTATCCTTTTGTGCCTTTTTTTCTAATTCTTCTCTTTGCTTCAATTCATAAATGAGTTGAAAGAGATCTCTCAAGTCCAGAATAACAGGTTCAGCCTGGGATGAAAGGTAGTAAGGCACATCATAAGGGAATGGTACTGAGACGCAGCAACAAATTTTTGTTTTTGCGGCGACAACCCGCAGCCCTTCCTTTTTCTATTAATCTGAAAGCATTCCATTCTTAATTAATTCTTTGTTTATACTGGTTTAGCAAATTGCATCTAGGCTAAAGTTCATTTCTTCAACTAATTATATTTGCAAATTCATAATAATCATAAGCATAAAAGGCATTGCTTTTATTTATTAGTGATTTAGAATACAATAAAATTAGGGTAGGCCTTATGCAAAACAGCTATTTGTTTTCTCTTATTTTCTTTTTAAATGAGGCTATGAACGCAAGGAAACTTATTTGTATACGGTGCCTCCATCCAGTTTAACCAGAAAGGAAAATAATTAGTCATTAGGAAATACCCATTAGTTAAAAAAAAAAAAAAAAACAGAAAAAACTGGATGGGTATGAGCATGTTTCCTTGCTCCAAGGCTGTTTATCTTTTCTAGATGGGAATGTGAGCATCAACTTCAGTGGAAATACATTGCTTGGTCATATCTGAGAGTGGGCCCTCAAAGACCAACGGAGTCACTGGACTGTCCCCCCAGAGTTCCAAGGAAAGACTCCCTTCTTGGATAGGGATACTCACCGCCTGGGCTGTTTTTATGGCCACAAATCTGTGATTCCCTTCCTTCCCACAAACATATCCAAAGGCCCGGTGATCTGTAATGTCCTTTGCAATGTAGGATATTTCATGAACAGCATGATGATGCTGAAGGGCCTATCAGAGAAAAAAAAGGAAGAACATATTTCAGGGGACTTTCCCTTCGAGCTGTTGATCAATAAGAAATGTGTTTCAGCTACGTGTGAACAGGCCCGAAGGGCTTTGGAAAAGCTGTTTAGTCCAGATGGAAAGAAAAAGAGCTATGCCTGTCCTTGAGAAATGGAGGCTTCCCTCTATGGTCTTAATGCTGTGACCAGAGAGAAACATAGGATTGTTCATATGCTGAATAAGCATCTGCAACAGTGGCTTTATTCAGCTTGCTAGAGCCAGCCAGTTTAATTCAATGGGTAGGCTTCTGTTTGATCGTTTTACATGACACATCCCAGTCCAACTTTTGGATTGATATTTAATTTACTTAAATACTCGGGGACCGTGTGTGCTGTGGTGGAGGAGCTACACTACACAACTCCAGGGAGTATTATTAACATTCATAGAACTATACATGTGCATGGTGACAACACTTTTCCAGCTGATGGTGATAGAGTGTGTTGAGGAATAAATGCCTTTCTCTGTTTTGCCCAAAGTCACCACTGGGGGTAGAGGCGGGGCTATGCATATCTCAGGCTTTTCATTGGTAGATCTCTCTGCCTGCAACATCAACTCTTTTTATCCACTTGCCCAAATCCTCTTTCTCTTTCAATGGCCGTATGAAATAGTACCACCTGAGTGAAACTTCCTCTGAACAAGGCATGCCTTCTGTCTCCCTGGAGAAATAATTCCACCCTCATTTGTGTATCTGTAGAACTTTACTTTCTAATGACACTGAACTGATGAATTCCTCCAATGTTCGTGCCTGGAACGAACTTCCTTACTCTCACAGGTCTTCCTTCTCTGATATATTTACATGATTCCTTGTCTGTCTTTCCCACCCGGTTCTGTCTTCCTTATCTCTGTCATCCTAGCACCTTGCACTATGCCTGGCCTATAGTTGTTGAACTAAAGTAAACTGAGATTGATAATTAGTAATTTGAAAATCTTTTATAATTCACCTTCATGCCTTCATTATCTGAGCTTCAACAAATAATGTTCACCATCCTATCGGGTAATGGTGATCTTAACGGTTATTTTCCTATACTAAACCTACTTGAAACAATCCTCATTCAACAGTACTCTGTAAAGGCTTATATATTCATCTGGGTGCTTATGGTATGTTTAAAGTCCTTATAAAGAGCCTTTTCATTATACTGGGTATCAGGAGGCCTGAATTCCAGCTACTGTGTAAACACAAGGCACCCACTGTACCCCTGTGTACCTCAAGTTTAACCCTCTAGTAAATGGGAGGTATGTACCAGATCAATGGGTCATAAGCCAAAGCCCTAGATCCTTAGGGGTCATTAAATGTAATAAAAAGAGGCCCCATGCAATTTTCAAAATCTCAAAAAACTAAACAGAAATATGTAATTATTCCTAATAAGTCTACATATTTCTATGTGCATGCAAATGAAAATGCCAAGTTTATTTGGAATTTCTGTTTTTTGAGACAGGGTCTCACCCTGTCACCCACGCTGGAGTGCAACGGTGCAATCTTGCCTCACTGCAACCTTCACCTCCCGAGCTCAAGTGATCCTCTCACTTCAGCCTCCTGGGTGGCTGGGACTACAGGCATATGCCACCAGAGCCGGCTCATTTTTTTGTAGAGATGGGGTTTCACCATGTTGCCCAGGCTGGTCTCAGACTCCTGGGCTCAAGCGATCCACCTGCCTTGGCCTCCCAAAGTGCTAAAATTACAGGTGCGAACCACTGCACCGGCCATTTATTTGGAATTATATCAGCTTAGTGTTGCTAATATTCCTTAGCTCATATTTGAGTATATTCTCTTACTGGCACTTAGTTATGGTTTAAATAGTCCAAATAGGAAAATGGATGATTACAAATGCAGTTTTTTTGGTAGACAGATTCTTCCCCATTACTGAGTCCATGGAGGGAGAGAGAAAATTATGAAAACATTGGGAACCACTGGAGTAGATACTCTCTAAGCTCTTATTCCATCTTCCCAAATCCTTTTAAGCCATTAGGACCACTCACTACAAAACCAGCCTCCTGGCACAGTGGGCCTCTGGATTTCACGATGGTCATCGCCGTAGTTCTAGACCACTGATCTTCTAAAATGTCCATCCCTTGGCCGGATGCAATCTTTCCAGGCATTTGACCTTATAAATCATTTGTGGCAGCAGAATTTTCTGACTTACCTTAAACTTCCAGGGTCTGATCATTCACTAACCTCTCTGACTACTCTTAGAACTCTCTCTATGGCTTCACACTTGCCCAGGCTGCCCACTGGCCACTGGATATCATGCTTAAATGGTAGTATGACTGCTCAGTTACCCTAGTCCCTCCAGTGGCAATAAAACGAATGTATAAGTCTAATGGTTTTTGACACAAATAAGTTGGCAGAGAAGGACATATTTGCTAGCAAAATAATTAGGACCCATTAATTTTTGTTTTATTAAGAGGACATATTTAGCTAGCAGAGGAAAATTGCTCAAACAGTGGTAGCTTTTTCACGGTGTTAATGATGTAAAATTGATGAGATTTACATTCGCACAACATGGGGGCATTGATTTATAGGCTTTTGTGCGCTAAAATGGTAGGCAGCAGGGAAAAGTGGGAGACAAAGATGTTCTTCTCTTCCTTTCCTAAAAGTATCTCTCTCGCTGCATAATGTGGAGAATGTTATCCACGTTTCCTATTAAATCAAAGTTTGATGACAGTGCCTTATTGATTGCCAAGTAGAACATTGCTCTAAAATTAAGCTGCGATTAGAAGTCTTCCTGGTGGAATTAGATTTGGAGATGATTGTGCAATGGTAAAATATCACTTACCAGGCAAGACAGCAGATGGAGATGTTTTAATTTATCTGGGAATCCTCATTAAGTGTTTTAAAATCAAAACATTTTTAATGCCTGATGATACCTAATACTGTCTTGCAGAGTGTAGCTGTGTGTGTGAGCGTGAAGTGCTTAAAGATATTTGTAACATTATTCTCTCTCATAGTTAATTTTATGACATGTTAAAAAGGATTGCTCTGAACGTGTCTCATTCATTCGGAAATAAGAGTCAGTGAGGGGCTATGTCTTCCCTCTCTGCAACCTTAACCATGCAGACGTAACATAGATACTTAGAAATACAAATACATTAGAATTCTGCTAATCCTACAATTGCATTATCACATTCGCTTTAGAAACTTAGAGTATCATGCAAATTCTTGTTCACTGAGCCTCAAGATTGCCCCATGTCTTCAAGTAGAATTTATCAGCACAATCAAAGACAGTTGGAATCTTAAACATCAATCCTGAGTTTATTCATGAAGGGACTGAAGGTCAGAGATTGAAACGCCAGGACCAATACTAAACCCAGGTGTTTTTCCTACTCAGGATGACAAAGCATTGAAAAAAGAAAACTAGATTACACAGAATCAAAGTCTCCTTTCCTTAGACTTTTGGCTCCCTCAACCAACAACAAAAAGATGATCCCTTGATAAGCTGGGATGAGGAAGGCAAGGGAAGAAGAGAACTGGGTAAGGGGAGAGAACTGAGAATGTTCTGGATTCAGGCAGGTATCTGAGATCAGGGAGGGTCATAAATCAGAGGGCTTGGGGTAAAGGCTGGCCACTGGGCTCTCAAAGAAAAAGGTCAAGACAGCATGGCCCTGAAGTTTACTCTCAGGAATTGGCTGTCTCTGGCACCTGTTGAGCAGCCAGAGGCAGAAAGGTGAGGCACAGCCCATGGTCCTAGGGCATAAGAACTGCTCCATCCCAGGAGTGCTTCTGCAGTCAGTTCCTGGGGCCTTGCAGGTAGTTCCGGAGGTGGCTGGGAGAACAGCCAGAGAATACCGGCCGGAGTGGGAGGCAGAGGGTGAAGGAAAGGCAGATGCTGGTTGCCCTCTTCCACATTTCCTTTTGAAAACCGTTATTGTCTTGGGAAAACTTAGTCTAGATATTAAACTACTGCCAAAATCAAAGCAGGTATTTGTCTTAAAAGTAGAGCCTTCAGGAACACCCTAGCTCTCTGCCACAGCTTTATGTATTCTCCCCATCCTGAACTCTTCTTTGCATCATGGATAAAAGTTGTCACTAGAGAATTTCAAGGACAATCCAGGTATCAATGTCCTCAATCCAATCTGACCTTCCTATGCATGAACTTCAGGTCACCTGTGCTGCAAATAATCTGAGGAGCTCATTACTCTCCCTTTGAATTTTGTGCTTTCCCACTTCTGTGCTATTGCTCACATGGTTTTCTCTGCAGATGCCCTGGCCTGCGCTTCATCAGCTCAGAGAACTATAGTGTACCTATGACGGAAGGCATAGCTCTGACATGTTGCCCATCCAAGGAACCTACCTTGATACCCCATTTCCCTGAGTAATAATTCCCATCCCTAGATCTCACTGCATTATATTTGTCCTTCTACACAGGATGCTTTGCACTTCTTTCGCATTTATCCATTCATCCAGTTACTCACAGCATGTGTACTTATTGAGTGCCTATTATGTTGCTGGTCTCCTGCTATGTGCTATGGCTACACAGATGAATAAAACACAGTCCCTTCTTCAAGGAGTTCACAATCTCATAAAACAGGTAGGCAAAGAAACTAGCAATCACAATATAATACAACAAGCTTTATATTAAAAGTGTGCCCAGTGTGTCACATAGGCTTGGGGCAGGAATGGGCGAAGGGCATCAAAGAAGGCTTGACGAAGGGGGTGACCTTGAATTGAGGCTCCAAGGATAGATGGGAAGTCTCCAGAAAATAAGGAAGAAAGGGCATTTTAGGCAGAAAGAACTGAATGTGTGAAGGCAGCTAGGTTCTGAGAACAGGACCTTGTGGAGAACATCTATGCACATGTTTTCTCTCTCTCCTTCAGGAATGTTAGGCCCTTCAGAGAAAGATCCATGTCTGGTTCTTCTCAATCTTACCCCCGCTCCTAATACTGCACCTTCTGAACAGTAAGTGTTACATAATATTTCAGGAAGGCAGGCAGGGAGGAAGAAAGAAAGGAAGTACAGGATGAAGGAAATGAATGGGGAGGAAGAAAAGAAAGAAAGACCAAGTCACCTTAAGATAAGCCCTACATATGGTGGATGCTCAATACATGTTCAATGAATAAATGATTCAGGTTAATTCATAACATTTCACACAGGATTCATTCTGTGAACAGAGAATTTCTTATCTGATCATCATTAAATCTTTTTTTCTTTGTATTTCCATGAGCCATTTACCAGTGTTTAAATGAAGTATCAAATTGTTTGGAGGGTTACTGTCTGACAGAATAAATTACAGAGAAGACTTAATTTGTAGTATGGTTCAATACAGCCAATTAAATACAGTATGGATTAGAAAGTCATCTGCTGAAGATTTTACCATTAGTTTTTTTTAAAGAATAAATTCTACCCTATTTAGCCTTCATATTATTAGTATGTGTGTGTATGTGTGTGTGTGAGAGTGTGTGCTTTCCCGAGGCAATACTATTCACAGGAAAAATACCCAACAGGAATCAAGTGAGTTAACAACAAAACAAAAAAGCAGAAAAGCAGAGAGACACAGAATAAAAATAGATACATGAAAAAACACTACTTCACACTACAAGCAATTACAGTAGTTAAAACCTCACAAGACAAAGGGAGGCCCAGGCTCATTACAAAGGCCTTTCTCTTTTCTAACATATTTTTGGATGTGCTTGCTACATCACGGTGCCAATGAGGCAACCTCTGCACCAGCCCCCAGGCAACCCATCATCAAACACTCAATGGAGTGGGTCAGAGTGAAGTGCTCCCTGGGTTGGCATCCTGAAATCTTCTAGAAGTTTCTACTCAAGGACAAGACCAGATTTCCAAATAACGTAGTCTCTCGCTGAAGAGGTGGTGTGATAATGGAGGAAAGATATGGACTGTGGAATCAGAAGAAATGCAATTCACATCCAAGCTCTACCATTTACTAGATGTGTAGCTTTGCACACATCACTCTAACTTTCTGAGACTTCTTTTCTCTTTTTGTATAATACAAAGAATGATATGGGAACCCAAAATGCTATTGGAAATATTAAATTGATTCATATAACATATATGAAATGAGATACCATTTTTGCCACCAGAATGAAAAAAACAGAAAAGATAATACCCAATATTGACCAAAGTGTGATGAAACAGGTATCTTCTTGGGCTACTGGTCTGCTACATGTAACATAAGTATGATAATAGTATCTCTCTCATGGTGTTGTTATGAGGATGAATAAATTAATATATGTAAAGTGACCAGAACAGTGCAAGGCACATTTATAAAGGTTGGTACCTGTCAGCCATTATAGGTGTTTTGTTATTGGTGGAAGTGTGATTTGGTGCAACTTCTCTGGAAGGCTGCTTGGCAGTATGTTTCAGAGCTTTAAAGATGTGCATACGCCGGCTCTATGATTCTTCTTTAATTACTTATCCAGAAAGAATGTAATATCTGGGCAAAAACTTGAGTACAAAATATTCCCTGCAGTGCTGTTAGGATGGTGAAAAGTTAGAAATGTCCAAAAATGTTGAGCATTAGCTGACTGGCTGAAGAAAATGGATTTGCTATAAGATGAAATAGCAAGCAGTACCGAAAAAATGATCTTGTGGAAGTGGTATTTTTTGCTTTGAAGATATATTCACAACATCCTGTTGAGTGAAAAAAGCATATTACAAAATACTATGTTCAATATGATCCTGTTTTTGAAAAAATGTACACATATCCATATATGTGTACATAACAAGAGTTCTCTCTTGAGTGGTGGAATTACTAGTAATTTTCTTCTTATTTATGCTAATTTTTGCTACAATCAAAATGCTGTTTAATAAGATGGTTTTTTCTTTCATATTCGAATTTAATGCCTGCACTGTCACTAACCCTCCTTGAGCCCATTCAGTCTCCCTCATTCTTATCCCCCAAAAACAAGTCCATCTTGTCAATTTCACCTTCCAAGTACCTTTTGCTTGTCCACTCCTCTCCATCTCCACCAGCAGATGCCAGGTCACACAGCTATCATTTCCTGCCTGGATTACCGCAGTATCCTCAGTCCTTCCTCATCCACTTATGCTGGCCTCTCCTCTGACAGTCACACCACAGGATGAAGAGATTGAGAAGAAAACCTGGCAAATCTGATACATCTTTCTAGTACTTAAAACACAGCAAAAGCTTCCCATGGCTCTTAGGATAAAGACCAAAATACTTGCCAGGGCCTGCAGAGCCCCCTGTAGGACCTGGCTGCTTCCCCATGCTGACTCACTACAGGCCCCCTTGTTCCCCACCACCTTGGTGTTTTACAGTCTCTCAAATGCACCACGCTCAGGTTTTTGCATATGCTGTTCCAGTTGCCTAGAAAGCTCAACTCCTTTCTCCCATTCAGACCTCAGCAGAGATGTCTCTTCTCTTTGCAAGTTTCCCTGACCTTCCAGCGCAGACCAGGTTCCCATGACGCAAGTCCTCTCTACTTCCTCGACTTTTCCACTGGGAGTGGGAGAGACCCCTCAGTTTGCCATTATGTATGGGGATGAATTGATCAGTGTCTGCCTCCGCCACTAGAGGCAGCAGCAGCATTTTCTTTTCTTATCCTAAGCATCAAGTACAGTGCCTGATGTATACAATAAGGGTTTTGTACATCTATGATTTTACTGTTATAGTAAAATATACATAACATACAATTTATCATTACCATTTGAACCATTTTTAAGTATTCAGTAATGTGGCATTAAGCACATTCACATTGTTCTGCAACTATCACTGCCATTTATCTCCAGAAAATTTTTGTCTTCCCAAACTCATGCTACCATTAAACAACTTCCCATTCCCTACTCCTCCCAGCCCCTGGCAACTGTCACTCTCCTTTATCTCTATAAATTTGTCAGTAAACATTTTTATGAATGAATCTGTCAGCAGGATCCTGTGTCCAGGTCTCTCTCTGAACTCCACTGACTCCCTATCCGTTTTCCTCTCTAAGCCTTTGTTTCACCAACAATTAAAACGAGGAGGTGGAATTCAGTAAATACTCATGTCCTCTTTTGTTCTTAAAATTTCATTAATTTCTTTTAAATTTTCATAACTAGACAACAGCTATAAAAAGTCAGCTTCTTCTTCTTAGCAGCTCTCTAAACATATGCTATACACACACCAGTCTAGAAAGATGTGCATGAATTCCTTGCCTAAATATAGGGAGATGCACTAGTTAACCAGCTGAGGGTATTCCAGACCTGTGAGTTGGGCTTAAATTTGTCTAACAGGCAAAGTGGAGCCAGGTGTGTTTAATCAATTAGCAATCACCAAAGTGACAACGAAGCATATTTTGTTAAAGAGAAGTTACAACACACACACACACACACACGCACACACACACACACACACCTTAAATAAGGAAAATTGCTTCAGTGTTAGTTTCCTAACACTGGGGTTCAACTAAAATCTATGTCCTGTGATTAAGGATGTGGCTACGTATAATCACAGTTGGTAGCGGGATAGAATAACTGTTCTGTCTCATTCAACTCACATTCATTCCCCAAAAGCCCTTAGGTGCTAAGGTGCACTAGGTTCTGGAGACACTAAGATGAGTAGGATGCAGTCCTGGCTCTCTAAAGCTGGCACTACATGTGCATATATGGAAGTTGGGAGCTCCTTATTTTACTAAACATATAGTTTGTATATTGTGCTGTCCTGTCCCCATTTCCAGAAGGCATGTACTGTATATAGAAGGATTTGAATCCTTCCATGGCTTTGTGGCCATGAACAAGTCACCTTATTTCACTGAGGCTCAGTTTCTTCATCTGTAAAATGGGAATGATTCCTTTCTCATAGGGATATAAGGAAGATCACTTAACATGTCTAGCAGAGCATCTGGTAGATGGTAGGCTCTTTGCACTTTGGGTCTTTTCCCTGGCAACTGAGTTTAAGGTTCTCAATCTAATGACTACATAATTTAGTGTTCAAGCACCAACAGTAGTTTCCTCAGATGAGGACTTCCTTGGAGCTCACAAGATAATGGTCTTGCAGTGGCTAAAGGATGATAAGAAAAGGAAACACTTCGAAATCAAGTCATCAGAAAAAGAAAAGAGCTAAAAGTTAGAGTTTCAAGCTTTATGATGTCATCTGAGAACCTGGATTCTCTCAGGTTGGATTTTCATTTAATCCTGTAATTTCTAGTTACATAAATAAATTCCTTTTGTTGGTCGCTTAAGACTTTTTGAGGTGAGTTTTCCATCGCTTGCAACTGAGAGATTTCTGAACAATATAATAGTCATCACTATTCCTACCTTAGACAGGAGGAAACAGGCTCAAAGAGAACTGACCTGCTCAGGTAGCAGGAGGCTGACCTGGGCTTTGAGGAAGTTTCATTGACATGCAAGTGTATGCCTGGTTTATTGTAAGTACTAATTAATATTGGAATTATAATCATGAAATGTCTTTGGTTATATATTAAGATAAAGCACATACATAAATATATTGCTATTAAAAAAACAAGATTTTCAGTGAAAGAAAAATGAGACACAAATACTTTAAAAACTTAAGAAATAACTCTGCAATGTTAAATTTGAATTAGAAATGTCAATACAAACTTGAATTAAAATACATACTCCTAGCACTGTTCACCAAAAGGACATAGAAGCAATGAAACCCCAGTAGCTATGAGCACACCTAATATAGCTACTTACTATCTAGCTATCTATTTATCCATTGATCTTTTAACCTATCTAGTGAGAGAATCAGAGAAGGCAAATACGGCAAAAGGTTAAGTTTTAGAATTATCCTTTTACATTTTGTGTTTGAGCATTTTCATGGTAAGTTGGAAAAAAATTTAAATCTTAGCATGTTCCTTTCTCTACCTCCACTCCCTCTCCCTTTCTCTGAGAACAGGAGAAGTCAAGGTACTGAGCACTTCAATGACTTAACTGAAAGTCAGCTGCAGACAAAAGACCTTTATCACTTCCACTTCAGTCAACCGTTGGTCCAAACCATAAGAGAGTCTTTAAGAAGACACACGTGCTTAGAAGTGCTTCATGTTAGAGTTGCCAGTTTCCTTTGTTCCTTCTGTATTCCCACGGCCTGCATCAATACATATTAGCCAGTATCTTTCTTTTTCTGTTTTATGTTATTTGTATATTTTTAAACTTAATTTAATTTTAAGTTCCAGGATACATGTGCAGGACATGCAGGTTTGTTGCATAGGTAAAAGTGTACCATGGTGGTACTTATCAACCCATCACCTAGGTATTAAGCCCACACCCATAGCTATATTTACCCTGATGTTCTCCCTCCCCCTGATCCCCCAACAGGCCCCAGTGTGTGTTGTTCCCCTCCCTGTGTCCATGTGTTCTAATTGTTCAGCTCCCACTTATAAGTGAAAACATGCGGTATTTGGTTTTCTGTTCCTGTGTTAGTTTGCCGAGGATAACAGCTTCCAGCTCCATCCATGTCCCTGCAAAAGACATAATCTTGTTCCCCTTTATCAGCCAGTACTTTTCTATTTTCAGCAACAACATTTTTCAAAGTTCAGGCTGAATAAGTATGGAAACAATTTGTACTCCTGACTCTCTGGGCCAGGGGTTGAGTGGGTCGGGGTGCAGATTCCCAAAATTGGAAGATTCTCCAAACATGCATAAGAATTCAAACTTTATTTTCACTACATTAAAAAAGGGGAGGTGTTGCTATGCATAGAGTTCCTGCTATATGCTAGGCATTGTGCTACGTACTCTACGTATATAATCCTCACTTCCACTCACCCATCAACCTTGCCTATTATTTCCCCTACTTTACTATGGAGGTACCTGAGACACAGAAGGGTTAAGTAACTTGCCCCGGGTCACACAGCCCATAAGGCAGACCTGGA
The DNA here is from genome assembly GCF_000001405.40 of Homo sapiens. Lineage (NCBI taxonomy): Eukaryota > Metazoa > Chordata > Mammalia > Primates > Hominidae > Homo > Homo sapiens. The sequence goes on from NC_000001.11 coordinate 57,083,252, forward strand.
CTGCTGCCAGGTATGGCTGGCTCCAGACTCTAGGCAGCCTCTGTGCACTTGAATACAGTTTCAAATGTACTTTAATGGCCTATATTTTCATTCTTCTAAAATCCTTATTTTTATTTCTGTTTCGTTCTGCATGAAGAATCCTAATAACCATTGTGGGTGTTTAGTAATGTAACCAATGGTTTTAACATTTTAGCTCATGGTGTAAAATTATTATAGAAAGCAGGTAAATGAATGCGCTTGAATGGAAATGAAACAGCATGTTTTGCCACAAGTCACTGCAGAAACGAGGTCATTATATTTAATAGAAAATGACTTTTTGTGTTGTACCCAGTCTGAAATTAACCTCTGCCTTGGTCACAATGATGTCTTGCATGCTAGACAGAAACTTACAAAAAAGTGAATTGACTAAAATGCAGCCAATGGAAAGGATGCTGCATTAGGAGTGAGACGACTGGGATTCCAAGTTCCGGTGTCTTCATTTGTAAAATGAGGTGGATAGCAGGTGGTGGTCGTGACAAACAATGACTTCTGAGGGTGCTGAGGTAAGGCATGATTTGGAGTAGACACAGGTCAGCATCTGAAACCCACATCTGATGTGTGCTACTTTCGTTAACTTGGACAAATCACCTAGCTTCTCTGAACCTTAGTGTCCTCATCTGTGAGTTCATTCAATTGAAGTACGAATTAAATGTGATTATGCTGGTAAAGTGCCTAGCGTTCCGCCTGGCACAAAGGTTGTTTAGTAAATGGGAGTTGCTCTCCAGCTCAAATATTCTGCTATCCAAATTGTTTGTCATTGTTAAGTGTTGAATTATGCCCCCAACCCCCATTCATATATTGAAGTCCTAAACTCCAGTACTTCAGAAAGTGATCTTATTTAAAAACAGAGTCATTATAGAAGTATTTATTTAAGATGAGATCATACAGGGTGGCCCACTGATTCAATATGAATGGTGTCCTTATAAAAGAAGGAAATCTGGGCACAGACATGTATATGGAGAGAAGGCCATATACAGATGATGGCAGAGATCATGGTGATATGCCCAGAAGAAATGCCAAAGGCTGCCAGCAATCCACCAGAAGCTAGGGGACAGGCATGGACCAGTCTTCTGCACAGCCCTCAGAAAGAACAATCCCTGCAGACACCTTGATCTGGGATGTCCAGGCTCTAAAACTATACAACAAAACATTTCTGTTGTTTCAGCTGTCCAGTTTGTGGTACTTTGGAGAAACAGCCCTTGGAAACTAAATACAGCCATCTTCTTATTTTTATCTTCAGGTCCTTTTGTTTAAGGAGTTTGCCAAGATAAACTGTTGATGAGACAAGGGTTAAAAGAAACCAACATGAAATTAAATTCTACGTATTTCGTCTTTCTGCTCTCTCAGTGAGCCTTAATTTTTCAATCTGTAAAATGAAGGGGCAGGAATGATCCCTTCCAGCTCTGCTCTGCTTTTCAATGCAGAATAACAAACCTTTTTGTTTTTCTGTTACTGACAGAACTTGCTACTTAAATCAGAAACACAGAGTGTAGTGCAGTGCCATGCAATTTATAGCTGCATCTATCCAATTATTTCCCATTTAGTGCTGTGCAGCAGTCCCCAAATACACCACCAAACCACTGAGGTGGTGGGCTGAGCTCTCTGAGTACAAGGATCAATTGTTTCTCTTACACTAATTGGCCCCATGATTTGTTAGGCTGTTGCCTTGGAAAATGAACTGTCAGTAAAAGAAATTAGCACCAAATCGCCCCCTTTTGTGAAAATGCACCAAACACCGTTCTGTAGCCATCTCCTTCAACTTACCTTAGGGTCTCAGCAGGCAAAATTGATGCAGATTAATAAATTCTTACCCTCAGTTCTACCATTTGCCTGTTAGAGATGAGAAAACTGAGGTTCAGGGGGATTAAGCAACTTGTCTAATGTTTCATCAATGGTGAAATTCAGCACTGAGGCTGATGGCCAGTCTGATGCCAAGCTTCATGCCCGTTTTACTACATCAGGTCATCTCCTTAGGGCTGTGATCATCAAGCTCTGCCCAGCTGTCTGCCTTCTTGTCCCTCCTTCCTGGCATAGATTTTCATCTCTGTGCCAGACTTAGAGACAACTGCGCCCAAGTGAGGGCAGATGTGAAGAAGCTAGGCTGTCTGCATCAAATACCTAGGCATTCTGCATCAAATACTGCCCGCTACTGGCCCAGCTCTGATGTGCCCCCAGGACTCAATTCTAGTAATGGGGCATCTGCCTTGATCCAGAAACACTGTGCTAGGTGCTGGGGGTGCAAAGCACTGGCAAGGCCCTTGCCTCCGAGGAGCTCACACTCTACAGCAGAGAAGGGAGGTCAGGTGTCTTTGTTAATGTTTTCAAAGAAACCATTCCTTTTCTTCCTAACACAAACCACAGTCTAATGATCCCTTCATGTGTATAATTACCTGGCTAATATCTGCTGCCTCTACGAGACACAGGAAAGTGCTCCCATGTTCGTTTTTGGCTCACCATCACATCCCCAGCTCCTCGCACACTGTATGACACTTGGGGGCGGGGGGTGGCAGAGTTCAGTAATGATTCACGGAGTGAATAAGTGAATATTGTGTTTATGCAATAGTAAAGGCATAGCCAGGGTAAGCATGGAGGTCTGAAGTGACTAAATTAGTAGGAACTGACTAGATAAAAATTAGTGAGTGTGGGAGCGGTGGGGATCAAGATGTTCTATCCAGAAGGATAGCAATGACTTGCAGAGCTATAAAACAGCATGTTATATAGGCAACTGCAATCAGTATGGGATTATTAGGCAATAAAATGCTGGGCAGTGAGTGACAGTCTTTGAAGGTGACAAGACAGGCAGGGGTCAGGGGATGCAGAATTTTGAAGGCCAGTTTAAAAAACTGGAGTGGTTGAAATTGTCAGCTCCTTTCTAATTGACCCTGCTGTTAATCTTTGCTGCAGTTAAGCCTTCCCACATGCTGCAAATAGAGTCCTTCTTCAGGTTCGAGGACAGAGAGTTGAGCTGTCCCTCCCAGCTGGGTGCCCGTCGATGGAAGCCATATCCTAGGGCTCTCTCTAACACAGTGTGCCAAGGGATGCTCAGCTGAAGCATCGGGGAGGTTGGTTCATAGGCGAACAGATGGTTACAAATAAACCTGGCTCTCCCTGCTGGAGGAGAGGGTCTGAGGGCCCTGGCCAGGCTGCAGCTGGACTTGAGCAACTGTTCTTTTTCTCTGGGTTATAAAAGAAGCAGACTCTCTGGTCTGGGGACAGTTTGGCAAAGTGTTTGTGAGCCGAAGATAAATCCTGCCTCCCCTCACTGCCTAATCCCTGCTTCCTGGTCTACAGTCCGTGACCCACAGAAATTCATTCAAAGTTCTTTAGTAACAGGTGACAGGGGTTCTGTCTTAAACACACACACACACACACACACACACACACACACACACACACATGAAAAAAACCTGAATGGCGGGGGGAGGGGGTCAGGGGGTGGTGACAGTGGTGATGGCAATGTGCCTCTTTGTTTAATTAGCTGCACTGGCAGTTTTTGGAGACAACTGGATGTGTTTTCCTAACTAATAGCATAAGGCTTTATAACACCTGACGGTGAAATTGATGAGTGAGCACGTGTGTCAGTGTTGAATGGGTCTGGGTCATTCCTTGGCTCTGCTACTTTCTTCTCCACTGTATTATTACCTTGGGGAAGTCAAAGATCTGTGGTGTCCATCGATGTCCCCATTTGTGGGATACTGTTTCAGAGCACCACCTTGAAGGCTGCAAGGTAAGCTTGGGTGTTTGGCAGAGGTAAGTGACTGAGAGGGATCTGAGAGGGCCAGCAAGAACCCTGGGCACAGAGCTATGTAACCTGGATGTTTCATCCATTGTCCTTTCAGTAAACAACCCATGAAAGCTTGCTGTGGGTTGCATGCCAGAAAGGCACAGGGCATAGAAAACACATGTGACCAGTAGCAGTCCCTACCCTCCAGAGACACACGACCTGCAGGAGACAGCCAGGTGCATGGGCAACTGTAATAGGGCATGGCAAGTTCTCAGAGAGATGGAGATGCAGAGCCTGGGCTGGGGGATCACGTAATCAGGGCAAGTTAGCCTCACTGGGGCAGGATGCCGGGAAGAGAAAACGTTCGGGCTAATTCACAAGAAATAAGGAGTCACCAAGGGAGAAGGGGAGAGAAGTACACTGTAAGGCACAGACAGCAGTGGGTGCAAATGCCAGGGCAGAAGGAGGCAGCTCCAGAAAATTCTGAAGGGTTCTAGACGTGGGTGTTGAGAGGGTGTTTGTCTGAGGTCATCTGTAGGGCCCTTCCATATGACTTTCCAGAGCAACCTCTCTCTGCAATCGGAAGGAGAGTTGGGACTGAGCCCAAATGTGGAAGCCTGTGCCTGTCATTTTGAAAACTCTGTTGAGGTTTCAGGGTTGAGCCACTGAAGGACTGGCATTGGAACTCCTGAAAGGGTTTCCATCTCCAGTTGGATTAGCTGCCTCTGTTCTGTGCTCCCTGAGCCTCTTTTTCTCTGCTTTCCCTTTGCTCAGAAGACTTGCTATTCTGATTTGCAATGACTCATTATCTAGCCACCTATCTTTAACCTGTCCGGGCTTCCACTGATGAATCTGTGCAAGAATGTCAGTGGCTAGCCTACTTGGCAGAGCTGGTGCAGGGATCATAATAGACCAGCAATGGAAAGTAGGATGCGCTGTTGACAAAGATTCTGTCCTTGACCAAGCTCTACTTGGCTCCTCTGAGCCCTCTTCTTCGCTAGGCCTCAACCTTGGCCTAGAAAGATGTAAACAAACACTAACAGAGTTTCTTTTTTTGTTTTGTTTTGATTTTTGAGACAGAATTTTGCTCTTGTTGCCCAGGCTGGAGTGCAATGGCCCAAACTCGGCTCACTACAATCTCCACCTCCTGGGTTCAAGTGATTCTCATGCCTCAGCCTCCCGAATAGCTGGGATTACAGGCATGCACCACCACACCTGGCTAATTTTTGTATCTTTAGTAGAGACGGGGTTTCACCATGTTGGTCAGGCTGGTCTTGAACTCCTGACCTCAGGTGGTCCAACTGCCTCAGCCTCCCAAAGTGTCGGGATTACAGGCGTGAGCCAGTGAGCCTGGCCCCACTAACACTGAGTTTCTAAGAGATCAAAGCCACGTCCCTAGGATGGCCCTAGTCTCCCTTAAAGTGCCTGCCTAAGAAAACTCAGAGCTGCCAGAGGAATTTACTGTTTGTTTCAGCCAACACCTGAAGATTGGGCCCATCTCCCAGACTCTTTGGAGGGTAGGAGCCTAAGTTTGATAAATGCCAGTTACCCAGATGGGTTTCACATGGATCAACCTGCTACCACTTCCCCTTCTCCCAGTGCCCACCTCCAGCTTTTTGGGATTTTTCACTTCCCTGACTCTACTCAAGCTCTCACTATTTCCCCTCCCACTCTCTCATTCTCCCTTGAAACAGCCCAGTCACCTCTGCACAAATCGGAATGTAGTTCAGCTCTTTTCTCTACTGTCAATTGTTACTGAATAAAATCTGTTTCACTGCTTTAACTGTGAATGTCCAGCTGTGTTTATCTTTGACACCACACAGGCGATAATCATCTCCACCTATAGCTTGAGATGCAGGCCCCGGCTTTAAGTGCCTTACACATTCTTTTACTAATTGTCACCCTGGCATGTGAGGCAGTCTGGCTAGAGGACCGGAACGGTGAAGCACAATGGTTAAGGGCACAGACCCTGGAGCCAGAGGTCAAACGCTGGCCTTTCACTCACAAGCAATGTACACCTGGGCTAAACACCTATGCTTTTTGTGACTTTCCTTTCTCACCTGTATAATGGGAATAACTGTTTCCACCTTATAGAACTGTTATGAGAATTATATGAAATTACACGTGACTTGCTTAGCATCGTGTCCAGAATACAGAAAGTGCTTAATAAATGTTATATTGTTATTTCAAACTATTCAAAGTGTATCCCATGAGGGAATAACTTCTCTGTTTATGTACAATATACCCCCTTACCTAGAACGTATCCTGGTACAAAGTTAATGCTTAGTAAGTGTTTGTGGAATGTATTAGGCCATTCTTGCATTGCTATAAAGAAATACCTGAGACTGGGTAATTTATAACAAAAAGATACGTAATTGGCTCACTGTTCTTCGGGCTGTACAAGCAGGGTGCCAGCATCTGCTCAGCAAATTTCCAGAGCAACCCCTTATTGCAAAACAAAAGGGAGATGGGCCAGGGAGCTTTTACTCATGGCGGAAGGTGAAGCAGGACCAGGCATATCAGATGGCCAGAGCAGGGGCATGAGAGAGTGAGGTGGGGGTGAGGGATGGGGGAGCTGCCACATACTTAAACAACCAGATCTTGCAAGAAATTACTTACTATCACAAGGACAGCACTAAGCCATGCGGGATCCGTCCCCGTGACCCAAACACCTCCCACCAGGCCCCACCTCCAACATTGGGGATTACATCTTAACATGAGATTTGATGGGGACATATATTCAAGACATATCATTGAGTAAATGATTTGATGTAAGAAATATTGATCTCTGCTCTATTTCTACAGGCTTTACAGTCTTGTCCCAGAACTGTACTGTGACTGCTGGTTTGTGAACACACAAGAGCATTTGTGGCCCCCTTGACTATACCTACACACAATATATAATTGCATATTTTATAATACGAGGCAGATAAGAATGTGACTGAGTGAGTCCTTGTGACACAGCCGACACCCAGCATGGGGCAACAAGGGGATGTGGCCAGAAGAAACCTTCACAGCTCTGGGCTCAAGTGAGCAGAGGCAAAACTTGGCTTGAAACTGCTGCAATGCATTCTTTCTTTGTGTATCAGAATGCAATGAGGGACAAAGTGATAGGAGTTGTCAAGTTTTGAAATGAATAATAGGAAGTCTTCAGAGTGAAGCTTATCAAAGAGATGTGCTAAAAATACAGCTGGCTCCAAGAGCATCTGGGAAGCAGAAGGATTAGCGAGGAGCCCTTAATTGCAGCAGAACAAAGACCCCTGCTGAAGGGAATGTTTCTTTCACCAGTTGCACCTGCAAGCAGGTAAGCACAAGGATGAAAATCCAGGGTATCTAGTCTCAATGTCTTCTCCCCACTTCAGGAAATTAATCCGCAAAAGTAGGCATCTAGCAATTTCCTATCATTTGGATACAATGGGGAATATCAAGGGGCTCAGCCAGTTGGGGGAGAGGGAGCCAGCGTTTCTAAAGTGCCCCCTACCTGTCTGATGCTTTTCTTATAGGTTCAAATTTAATTCTCATTACAAGCCAGTGAGAAAGGTTTATTATCACTTATTTGCCAGAGAAAGACACTGAGGTTCAAACAAGTGAGGTTGCAGGCCCAAGTTCAAACCTCTAGAATACAAAACTCCCAGGGCTAGATCCGAATTCCTATCTCCTAGCTATTCCCAAATCCAAGAGATGACAATATATTGCTTATTATACATTTCCTTTAAGTGTCCTCTAATTGAAGTATGTCTTCTAAAACAGAGGTCCCCAACCCCCGGACCATGGCCAGGTACCAATCTGTGGCCTGTTAGAAACCAGGCTGCATAGCATGAGGTGAGTGAGCAGTACCGCCTGAGCTCTACCTCCTATCAGATCAGTAGCAGCATTAGAGTCTCATAGGAGCGCGAACCCTATTGTGAACTGCGTGCCAGAGATCTACGTTGCACACTCCTTACGAGAATCTAATGCTTGATGATCTAAGGTGGAACAGTTTTATCCTGAAACTATCCCTCACCCCGCCCCACCCCAAACTGCTATGCATTATAGCAGTTTCAAGCCAAGTTTTGCCTCTGCTTACTTGAGCCCAGAGCTGTGAGGGTTTCTTCTTGCCACATCCCCTTGTTGCCCCATGCTGGGTGTCTGCTGTGTCACAAGGACTCACTCAGGGTGAGTGGAAAAACTGTTTTCCATGAAACTGGTCTCCGGTGTCAAAAAGATTAGGGACTGCTATTCTAAAATATTGATAAATTGTCTCTACATCCATCCATCCAGCCTTTCCTGTTTTGATTTAAAAAAAAATACTTCCCATTGCTTCTGTAGACCCACGGAATATAAGACAAGTATCTCATTGTATCATTCAAGGTTCTTTGGAATCTATCAGTTAACAACCACATCGTAGTTTTATTTTAAAGCTCTATGTAATTTATTTATTTCATTCATTATCTCATTTTGTTATCCTTATAATAAAATGAAGAAGGTATTTAGCTCAGAGAGACTAAGTAATCAGCCCAAAGTCACATCTAGGAAGCAGAAGATTAGATATCAGCACCCTTGAATGCCTTCTGATTCAGAAGTTCATGCTTTTTCTATATCATCTTGATAGAAGCAGCAAGTGCAGAGGTTAAGAACATGGACACTGGAACCAGACTGCCTGGGGGCCCTGCCACTTACCAGCTATGTGACCTTTGCTAAAGATTTATCTTTTCTGTGCCTCTGTTTGCTTATCTGTAAAACATGGATAACCACAGTACCAACATTATGGTGTTGTGATGATTCAATAGCTTATACTATTCAATACACTTGAAACAGTTCCTGGCACCTAATAAATGTTACCTAAGTGTGTGGTTTTTGTTTGTTTTGGTTTTTGTTTCTTTTTGAATATGTACCTTCTCCTACAGTTGAGAGCACTCCGTAACTGGCCCAACTCCATCCAGTTAAGAAGTGGGAGAGTAAGGATTTGAATCCAGGTCTGTCTGACTCTTTCAGATGCATCATTGACTCTCTCTTGCATTTCATCTCTCTTTGGCACATGGGATTAGATGCAGAAAAGGACCTGAATGAAGTCTCTCTGTCCTGGCCTAGAATAAGAAAGTGCAGCTCCTGGGTAAACCATGCCGTTAGAAAGACACCCTACCTACCCCTTAGGGGGACATTGGTTCTCACCATTGTATATACGTATTTGCTCATTCAACAAAATCATTTATTGACTACTTCCTGCGTTTCAAGCACCATACTGGACCCTAGAGGTACAGTGCTGAAATAGACATGGCGCCTGCTCCTTTTAAGATTATGGTTGATATTGTTTGGCTGTGTCCCCATCCAAATCTCATCTCCAATTGTAATCCCCATAAATCCCCATGTGTTGAGGGAGGGACCTGGTAGGAAGTGATTGGATCATGGGGGTGGTTATCCCCCATGCTGTTCTCATGATAGTGAGTGAGTTCTCATGAGATGTCATGGTTTTATAAACGGCAGTTTACCCCTGGGTTTCTCTCTTTCCTGCCACCTTGGGAAGACGGTACTTGCTTCTTCTTAGCCTTCTACCACAATTTTAAGTTTCCTGAGGCCTCCCCAATCATGTGAAACTGTGAGTCAATGAAACCTCCTTCTTTATAAATTACCCAGTCTTAATAGCAGTGTGAGAACGAACAAACAGTGGTCTGGCGGGGGAGGGGGGTGGGGGGGCATGCCTGAGCAATAACAACATGGTGTGCCAGGTGCCCTGAGAGGGGAAGTGCAGGGTGACGGGGGAAGCCATGGGAGAAGTCTCTGACAGTTATAAGGGTGAGGGTAAGTCCAAGTACCTATATTCTGAGAAGATGTAGACACATTTAAAAGCTATAAAACTTAGTTTCTTATCCTTAAAGAATAAAAATAATTAAAAAATTAAAAATCCTTTCCAGGCCTTCCTTTTCTAGGCAAAAAATGTAGTCCATTTCTTGATCAGGAAAGGTGTGATTGAGAAGGCGATGGAAGAGGGGTCTTTACTCATGTCATTCCCAGAAGAAAAGGAAAAGCAAGTACAGGGCCTGATAAGATAATGCAAAGACCCAGATAGACCTAGGCTCAAAGAGCAACTGTACTGTTCCATAGCTGCACACTTGCCAGTCCAGAGTAGAGCTGGTCCTAGGTTCTGCAAAAGGTCAGGATGACACACTGGACCTGGGTTCTGGTGGGGTTTCAGGCAGAGGCAGGTGGCTGCTCGTCACCTCCGTCTTTGCATCACAGAGGTATGTCCAAGGTTAAAAATCTGGCACCTTGTGGAGTGGAAAAAGGTCCCCTGGTCAGAGAGTGATACTCTGTTGGCTCTGAGCCTTCTCAGCACCAGAAATAACACATCACCATATAAGGCAATAATTCTAGTACTCAGTGAGCCCAGTTCCAGGCTAATGCCTGAGATCCAGGCCTTGAAAATCATCTTCCACCAGCAATGGAGTAATCTCTACTTATCTACCCTGCAATGTGAGGTCGCAAAGCCTTAGTTTCTTCATCTAAAAAAAAAATGGGAATAATAACATACAATTTCCTTACCATCACTCTGCATAATAATAATTGCAGAGTGACTGTGAAGAATAAAATGGATATTGCATGTAAAATATATAGGCTTATAATAAGCTTCCAATAAATGGTGATGGTGTGTGAATTCCAGTCTGCAAATAACCATATGACTGTGGGCACTACTTTCACTCCTAGAATCCTCAGTTTCAGGCTGGTAAAATGGGAATAGTAAACTACACATCATAAAGTTGTGAGTTAAATGACCTCTGTACGTATCTAGAAGAGGGCCTAGTAAGTCAGATGAGCTCAAGTGTTTAAGAGTCTTAGAGTTGGTTGGGTGCGGTGGCTCACACCTATGATCCCAGCACTTTGGGAGGCCGAGGTGGGCCAATCACTTGAAGTCAGGAGTTTGAGATCAGCCTGGACAACATGGAGAAACCCCTTTCTACTAAAAATACAATTAGCCAGGTGTGGTGTGCACGCCTGTAATACCAGCTATGCAGATGGCCGAGGCACAAGAATCACTTGAACCCAGGAGGTGGAAGTTGCAGTGAGCTGAGGTCATGCCACTGCACTCCAGCCTGGGTGCCAGAGTGAGACTCTGCCTCAAAAAAAAAAAAAAAAAGGAATCTTGGAGTTGACATCTTCAAAACTTTTATTTTTCATTCTTTTTTCTAGTTAACTGAATGTGGTTTCTCTCACTTTTTCATGAATTTTTCACCCCTTCAATAATATTTACTGAGTCTCTGCTACCAGCCAGGCACATAGCAGGGCAGCTTTGGCTATCTGTGTTTCCCCCTCACAGCTCACTTTCAAAGGAAGAAACATAGCCCAACCTCAGCTTGCAAAATCCGGATCACATTCTCCCTTCTTCCTGAGTCTCAGCAAGTCTAGCAGCAAGATTCAAATTCCTTTTTTGCTTTCCCTTATGTACATGCAGATTTGGTTGCTGAAAGCATCTTCTAGTTGACCATCTACCGAGGTAAGAGGGCCTGAGGTCAGAGTGGTTACAGGGAGGAGGCGAAGGGGGGATTTGGGGATGCAGTAATGCTGAAATCAGCCCATCCCACTTCTAAATTACAATTACACATTCACTTCCTTAGGATGGGAAGGATTCATTTCATGACTTTTATGTCTCCTAAAATTATTTTGTGTATTTTTCATGTATCCTAAAATTATTTTGAAACTGATATCAGAGAGTATCTCCTATGAGTAGACCCACTGAAGGATCTTATCACTGTCCTATGCTCAATTCTGTCTCTCATTCCTGGGTCATACCTGGATCACAGGATGCAAATTCCATCCAGGCCAGGCCAGTAGGAAGTCAGGAGGTAGGGTTCTGTGGGTCTGGTTTCTGAGACTTAACTGAGTCTTAAAGTATCTAGTCATGCCCTACCTCTGTACCATAGAAAAGTGGGCTTCCCACATACCTCGATCTCTTGCCCTATATTACTTGTACTCTGCAACCTCATTCATGTTGACTTTGCTCACTTTCAACCTCTTGATGACTTCCTGTGAAAAGCCCTTTTTTGGCTACTGCTTCTCAAGACTGACCTACAACTTTCCCATCTACTGAAATTCAGACTCTCCTTCAGGCTGGGTTGACTCGTTTACCTTTAAGAAAACTCTTGTACCTCTGCATTGAGTTTACCGTAGCACAGCAAGGCCACAGGACAGGATTCCATCTGATGCAGATGTCATTCAGAAATTCAGTGCTATCCTTTCACAGTGAAGGGGGCCCACTGAGTGAGGCAAGCGCCCTTTGTGTCTTTACACTGCCTTGTTGGTTTGTCCCTTTGCCTTTGTTCACCTGAAGGCTCTCTCTTCCTACTTTGGGTAACATGGACAGAGGCCCAATGAGACTGTGACATTTTACCCTGGATCAGAGAACTGGAGAAGGAAGTTCTGAGTCCTGTCTTGCAGGACTGGGAAACTTTGCATAGATATCACCAATGATCCACTGCTACTTCCTACCTGTCTTGGTTTGGCAGATATACTTAGACTCCCCATTTCAAACAAAGAAAAGTCAACTTTCCAAGTCTCAGTTACTTTGGGTTGACGATTAACGGCATCATATATATGAAGTGTCCACCCTGATGGCTGGCACAGTGTAAGCACTCAACATATTTTATTACAGTCAAGAGGGAGGACATTCTGTGGTGGGTGGGAACCAGCTTGAATGAAAGTATGGAGGCTAGGTGTGAGGAGGGAACTTTGGAGTGTGAGGCAGGTGAGTAGGGTTAAATAACGTGGGAAGTAAGGTGGAACCATTCTGGTTAAAGATAAATAAAAGAAGGCCTCAAATGTCAGGATGAGAATTTAGGACTTGATGTATTAGGGACAGTAGCCTATATGTAATTTGTTAAATAAGTGACATAAAAGTGCTCAGAAAAGTTATTGCAAATATGAGAAAGAATAATGCTTCCCATCAAAATAAATATGGCAATGGTGACAACAATAAGGATAAAGATGAGAATAATAGTAATCATAGCAGTAATAGCTGATAATGTTGACTAAATGTTTTCTTCTTGCCAATCACCATGCTAAGAACTTTGATGCATTTTCTCATTTGAGCCTCATCATAAGCCTTTTGGATCATTGCTATTATTATCTATAGTTAACTGATAGGGAAATCGAAGCTGAGAGGGGTTGTCCTTTGTTCAAGATCAGCCAGCTGGAAAAGTAGTGGATTTGGGATTTACACCCAAGCCTTTCTCACTCCAGAGCCGGTGGTTTTTTTCAAAATCCACAAAGCATACCAATTTCCTATTTTCAACCTCTTTGCTTAAAAGCTTACTGCTCATTCTTCCCTGGCTCCTCTCAGAGTACTGCTTTCTGAAATGCCTAAAATAAAAACTCACGAGTCCAATAATAGATATCTCCACCGCAAGAGATATATTTAAACTCCCCCATTTCAAGCAAAGGAACTTGAAGAAAAATTAAATTCAGCAAAAGAAATATTGAGTATCCCACCAGCCACATCTGACATACAAACGAAGCCTGTATGTTTCTGCTCTGCATCCCCATCTTCCTGAGAGCTTTGTTTTCTACTATGGCTCCTCAGGGTCTTGAACTCACTGGGCCCTGGCAAACTCAGCTCATAGGTCAGCTCCTCTCAGGTGCCTTGCCTGACCACCCAAGCTACAGTCACTCCCCACAGTCAATCCCTATCATGTCACCCTCTTTCACAGGCTCCACTGTATTTACTACTTTCTGAAATTAACTTTTTCACTTATTTGTGTCCTTATTTATTGTCTTGCCTGCATTGTTCACTACTATATCCACATGCCTAGAGTACTTACTTGGCATATAGTAGCTAATCAATAAATATTTATTGAATAAATAATACAATGCCTATTCATCCACCAAGGCTCAGCTTAAAAGACTTTCAAGCTGGGATAACTTTTTCTGGGCTCCTATAACATAGGAGGGCTTACTGATCACAGCCCTTGCCCCATGGGATTGTAATTATGGATTTTTCTTGTCTGTTTCTCCAGCTAGGTTATGGCCCCAAGAAGGCAGGGGTAATAGGGCTTTTTGTTAATATATCCTCAGTACCCAGATTAGTATCTAGCAATGAGTGTTGCTAAACAAATATTTGTTGAATATATAGGCAGATAAATGCATGGATAGATGAATTAATAAAAGGAGTAAAGAATGAATGAGCAATATTTTTCCAGTTGCAGAAATTAAAATTTATAAACACCACCTGATGTATATTACCCTGGAAGACCTGTGGTTTAATATATTAAGATAGGCTAAGTTAACCATAAAATATCAATGACCAATATTCATCTTTCATTCAAGCTACAGGTACCATCTGGGCTGGCAGGGCCACTCATGCACAGAGTCATACTGAGCCCGAGCTGATGGATGCTTCTACATTACCACCCAAAGCCTTATAGTTATCCAGACAGGAGAAGAAGGAGCTGGAGGGTTGCATCCAATGCTTATGCACTTTGGCCTGGAAGTGATGTATGTCACTTAGGTTATAATCAGATATAGTTGCATGGCTATTAATTGCAGGAGCTGGAAATATGGAGGACTATGGTTATGACACAGGCAGCAAATGTCTCTTCCATACTTGGAGATCACAGAACTCCTAAAGGCCAAGGCAGCACTAATGCTTCTGTGTGCTCCAGGTTTTGAGGACTGTCACCTAAACTACTTTAAGTATTAATTCATCATTATATAATTTTCATTTACTTATAAAGGACATGGTTAACTACCAGTTGGAACTTTATTTCTTTTTTATTTTTATTATTATTTATTTATTTATTTATTTATTTATTTTTGAGACAGAGTCTCACTCTGTGGCACAGGCTGGAGTGCAGTGGTGCAATCTCAGCTCACTGCAAGCTCCGCCTCCCGGGTTCATGCCATTCTCCTCCCTCAGCCTCCCGAATAGCTGGGACCACAGGTGTCCACCGCCACGCTTGGCTAATTTTTTGTATTTTTAATAGGGACGGGGTTTCACCGTGTTAGCCAGGATGGTCTCGATCTCCTGACCTTGTGATCTGCCCGCCTCAGCCTCCCAAAGTGCTGGGATTACAGGCATGAGCCACCGCACCCAGCAGGAACTTTATTTATTTTTTAATAAGCTGTTGAGTGTGACTTCACAGAGTTGATAAACCTCCAACCTAAGGTGGGAAAAAATTTCCCATTTTGATTATTCTTTACAACTTTATTGAAAATAAATATAGCTTCTCTCAGGCTTTTCAAAATAATATCTTACCTTTATTTACTGTCTACTTGGTGCCAGTGTAGTTGGCCTTTTATTTATATAGTATCTAATCTTCAGTACAACCCTGTAGGATAATATTATAATTCTAATTTTACAAATAAGGAAACTTAGACTCAGAGGGGTTAATATTCTTGTCCAAGGTCACACAACTCATAAGGGTTCAGGTAGAATTTGAACTCAGGACTATATGAAAACAGCTCACGGACCCCCATTACCATCTAATTGGAGTCTTGTGTGTCTGGAGGGCAGAAGGAGTGAATTGCTGAACTAACTTTTTCTATTGTCCCTTTGACCTCTAACACTCTATGAAAGCATTTTACAAGCCACAGTGGAAAACAGAAATCAAACTGCATCATATAAAAGTCTCTGATTTATCATGCATACATTATGGCTTGTTCCTTGTTTAAAGATGAGAGAAGAAAAATGAAAGATTACAATTTAGGGATTAATTCTACCGGACTATGAAGCAATGATGGGGCCCATTTCGATAACCAAAATAATAATGTAAATAATTATTTAAAAATTGGGGCAATTCTTCAACTTATACGCCAAATATACCTAATCTTGATTGCCCTGGGGATGATATTATTTGAGAAAGAATAAAAAGGACACATTCTAACTCTACCTTATAGATAGTTTACATAGTAAGATTGCCTTTAGGCCAAAAATTATTTTTACCAGAATAGTCAGATAGACCTGGGTATTTTCTGACCTCTGCTACTGCTTACCCGCATGGACTGGGACAATTCGTTTCTCAGAATCTCAGTATCTTCATCTGTAAAACTGGGTTGGGAGAGCCAAGGTAGCATAATGGGTAGCATTGGAGGCTCTGGGTCTAGACAAATGAACTCACTGGTTCCACCATTTACTCAATCAATACATATCTACTGGGGACCTCATAAGAGCTAGAAACTGTTGAGTGCTGAGGGTACACAGACAAGGAAAAACAAACACAATCCTTGTGCTTATGGTGTTTATAAGACAAAATACTTGATCTCTCCAAGCCTCAGTTTCAAAATCAGTAAACTGAGGATAATAGGGTTGATTGTAGGAATTTAAAGAAAGGCTGCATATGCATTGTGTTTAGCATGATGTCTGAGCAAAAATAAATGTTTGATAAATGTCAGCTGCTGTTATTAGTAGTAATAGTAGCTGTAGGGGTAGCAGTAAGTAGCGCAGTTCCTAGAACATCACGGGTACTCAATAAATGTTTGTTGAACAGTAAATG
Source organism: Homo sapiens (assembly GCF_000001405.40). Taxonomy (NCBI): domain Eukaryota; kingdom Metazoa; phylum Chordata; class Mammalia; order Primates; family Hominidae; genus Homo; species Homo sapiens. Next base: position 57,099,473 of record NC_000001.11, read on the forward strand.
AATGAAACACTAATAGTGTAAGCTAGGTAATATAGCTGTAGTTCCTCAGAAGAAATAAACTGATGAAGACATTATTTATTTAATCCTTAGTACTTCTGGGGTTCTAGAATACAAAGAGTTTTGAGGAAATTCATATTAGTTGGCAGTCTAAAGTGGAAACAGGGTTAGAAAAAGCCAACGCAATATAAACCCTGATGCAAGAGCATTATCTATACATAAACTAGCACGTATGCAATTTTCAATGGTTATTATAGACAGTGAGTTAGAAGCAAAGGCACTTCCCTTTGGGGTGGAGTAGGTTCCAAAGGTGCCATGGAAGGTTGGATTAAAATGGGCTTTAAAGTCAGTTCTGTATTTGAATTGATGGTAAAGAAAAGGCAGACAAAGTTCCAGGCAGAGGAATGAAGTGAGCCAGATGTGCAGACCTGTACCTGCCTTAACTGGGGGTCTAAGAACTGAGAGCGTTGGCTAGTATATACAGGTTGTCCAGGCAAATGGTGCTGATAGAGTAGGAAAGCCTTTGGATGCCTGATTAAAGAGTATTAAATCAATCTATTCACAAACAAAAGGTCAGTGATCAAGCGGTAGATTTGCCAGCTCTGGAGCCAGATGACCTGGGTTCAAATCCTAGCTCCATCACCACTAGCTACGGGATCTTGGGCAGGTTGCTTAACCTCTCTGAATCTTGGTTTCCCCATCTGTAAAATGAAGATAAAAATAGAATCTACTTCATTAGGTTATTATGAAGATGAAGTGAGCAAATTAATTAATACATAGAAGTGCTTTGAATGGTATGTGGCACATGGTAAAGGCTATACTGTTGTTGTTATTGTTGTTTTTCAGATATTAGTACATATCCAAAGAGATTAGACTGTACTACCTAAAAAATCAGACAAGTAGCTATACTGTTTGTTCACTTATTCTACTATTTGTTTAGCAGCACTGACTGACTGCTGTGTCTAGGCACTGGTTAATACCCAGTCTCCATCCTCAGGTTGCAAAGACACACAAGTAATGATAATCGATGAGGAATGAGCTATAATGGACATGCTGTATTATACTGAATCAAAGGCACTATAAACTGTAATGCAAATGCTGATTGCAGAGATATTATAATGTGAGAAAAAAATGTTAAAGTCATTGAAACACAATATATTCAAGGGGCAAAGTGGCAGAGGGGGAGAAGTTCCTAATTCCGCCTAGTGGCAGAGGCAGGAGAGGCTTTAAAGAAGACAATTTAGTTAGGCTAAGATTTGAAGGATGACTGGGAGCTCGCCAAGCTGGGGTGGGGGTGGGGGTGGGGGAAAGGGAAATGAAGCACGCATGAGTAGGCACAGGGTCATCAGGGGCTGGGTGTGCTTGGGAAATAAGATCCATGGTGGACATGAGGCAGGAGAGAAAAGCAGAAGGTAAATCATGAATAATAATAATATTAAATATTTTTTAGCCTTTATCATATGCCAGACATGGTTTAAGCACTTTAATCCTCCCATCATCGCCATGAGGCAGATACTATGAGTGGTGCCATTTCCAGAGATGGGCACTGTGAACACTGCTGGTCAGCAGCACAGTCAGGATTTGAACCCAGATGGTCTGACCCCACAGCCCATCCACATCTGCTCACCACAGGAGGCACTCTATCCTTCTTACCCCTGGCATGGTACTGGGTCTGACTTCTACTCAGGGACTTGTGAATGGCTGCCAAATCAGACCCAAACACAAGACTACACCGAAACAGGACTTTAGAACCAACAGAGGCAATCCTTTTTGAATCTCTTCTGTAGACTGACTTTCTAACAACTGTCCTCTTTTAGTGATGTAATTACTTTGGTATTTGAAAACCAGTAACAAATTAAGGGAGCTACATAATCAACTGTTACATTAATTAGTCACCCTTTGTTGAAAGGCAAACATCCTGTTAAATGTGTGAGTTAATAATGACTTCTGCCTCAATTCTCAGTTTTGCACATTTGCAAAGGCTCAACTTCAGTCTCTGATGTGCAAACCTCTTTGTCTCTCCCGATAGCTATCTGAACCAAATCCAATCATCTCCAGGCAGCCTCAAGTTCCAACAAAGGAGAGGCCTGCATTCTGGCAGAGCCATTGAAATAAAAAGAAAGCTATAGATTCAGATAAGCAATGCACACTGTGGATTACAGGCATGCTGTTTATTGATTCATCCATCCACTCATCCTTCCACCCCTCACACATTGATTGGTCTTCTACTCTACACCAGGCACTCTGCTAGGCACTGGGGGTACAGGAGTGAGAATAAATAGCTGACATTCAGTAAGCACTTTCTATGTGCCAGGCATCTTTCTAGAGCTCTACCTACTTGATCTCAACAGTTCTAACTTTATGAGACAGGCAGTATGACTCTCTGAGATAGGCATTATTACTAGCAATTTATTTAGTTTACAGATGAGGACACTGAGGCATAGAGAAGTTAATTACCTACCTAAAGCCATTGAGCTAGTATGCTGGTGGAGCTGAGATTTGAATCCAGGCTGTCTGGCTCTAGAGCCTGTGCTTTAAATCCCTATGCCACATCACCTACTATTTCAGCAAGGGCCCTTGCTCTCAATGAGCTTGCAATCTAGCGAGGCAACAGACATGTAAACAATCAAATTTCAATGCAGTGCGGTCTTTGGAGTAATAGAGCCAAGTATGGAAGTAAAGGTCCCCGGAGGGTCTTCCCTTCAGTGATGCACATTCTTCTCTCTTTCTCTGTCTCTGTCTCTGTCTCAGTCTCTCTCTCTTTCTCTGAGCCATCACAAACAATTGCCACATACATTGCTAATGGGAGAACCCAATCTATATTCTTTCAGAAACAAAGTTCACATGATATTATGATGGCTTGAGATAAGCTTAAACTCTTCTGAAGGCTTCCAGCAACCATCCTGTGGTCATGTTTTAAGGATATTATACTGAAAGAGGCTACACTACTGTCTACATTATATTAATGCACTATAATGATTCCATTTTGTAAATAGTGTTTGGAATTGACTGACATGATACTAAATTTGCACTTGCATGCATAATTATTATTAAACTGAACTCACAGATTGAGCGCCAGGATTTAAAACAAACAAAAAAATCTATAATTACAGCATATGAATTTTTTCATTGCCAGTGCTTGTTTCAACTATTTTCATCGAGAAGGCTTTTATCTTCCTCTCTTTTCATTGTTTTTCTTGCTTCCAGTGGAGGCCAATGACACAAAGTATAGGATATCATGAAGTTGCAAAGTTCAGGAGATTTTCTTTCTCCTGTTTTAAATGGAAAAAAAATGTTTTTCATCTCTTGAACAGTTCATTTATTCATGTAAATGGATTTCCAAATGCATATCCACGTGTTTAAAGAGGCCAGAACATACTTGGGGCCTCCTGAAAACTGTCAGCTCAGTAGATTTCTGCATCGTGCCAGGCCCAAGGAAGCTCCTATGCAAGAAGCTGAAAGTGACCAAGACAAGGAGTAAAGTCGCTTTCTCCCCAAAATGGCAGGGCCCAAACAGGAGATGAAGGTCATTGCAATTATGACTGGGTCTCAGAAACCCACACGCTCAGGCCTTTCTAGAGAAAATGGACAAAATGGGGCTATTTTTAGTTGTTCTTCAGGCTCTGGCTAACACTAAATCCCTGGGTGCTAACAGCTGGAAGCACATTATCTAGTAAATGAGATGCAATGCTAAAAGGAAAGAAAGGTCAGCTGGAGGGGGGCTGGTGAAGAAAAACCAAACACAGAGAAGTGTAGGAAGGGACAATGTTACTCTGGTGAGGGGGCAGACAGGAAGATCCTCCAACTCCTTACACGTCACTGCAGATGTGTTCTCCTCAGGTGCCAACACCGGACAAGTCAGTGCAGCAGCAGCAGACTTAGGCCCAGATCTCCCAGGCTGGGCTAGATCTCACTGACTGGCTGTTCTTCAACACTAAGCAAGACACTTAACCTCTCTGAGCTCTGGTTTTCTCATTTTAAAAACACGACTAATCATCTACTGTGGACGTGACGTTTAAATGAGATCACCCTTTGCAAAGTACCTAGAGCAGATCCCGGGAGTACAGTAGTTATGTGTACTAGGAGTGTGGGGAAAGGAGGAGTCAGAGGACTTTTGAGAAGCCCAGGCATGCTGGGGAGGAGAGAGTAGGGAGGCGACACAGGGAAGCAGACAGGTGCTTGGCCCCCCAGCACCCTGTAGGCCACATCAAGTACTTTGATCTTAGCCTAAGAGCAAATGAAGCCACCAAAAAGCTTTAAGTGGAAGAGAATCATGAACATGCTCCATGTATATTTTAAAAGGATTGCTTGTGGCTTGGTTCTGCAGAGTGGGTTGAAATGGGGACAGAAGGACTAAGCGGGGAACCCAGGTAGGGGACCCCTATGTCAGTGCAGGGGAGTGATGTTGGGAGGCTGGGTGACAATGACCGCAGCTGACACAAGGAAAGGTAGGTACATCTGAGAGAGAGGTATGGCAGATTTATCATGAGTAGGTGAGGAGATCAAGGGTCTGTCTGTGCAAACTAGAAGGACAGTACTGCCAGAGACATGGGGCCCTGGAGGGTCCTGGGCCTCTCCCTCTACATGACAGTGGTAGGTTATGGGGGTGAGAAGGCAAGAACATCCTGAATACACATTCTGCAGTCTGCAGACTGGTACTGGTCTACACACTGTTTCTGATCTGTAACAAGAGACATATGAAAACCATAGTTTAGAAACCTCTATGGTGGTTGTGCTGCAACATCCAAGTGTGTTCTCAATTAATCCTGCCTCACTGAACAGGACATAGATGAGCTTGGTCACTCACAGGGTAGGTCACAAGTGGCCCAAAGCAGGCACTGTAGGACCACGTCTTGGTTGATGATGAATTGGAAAAAAAAAAACTAGTCCTTCACCACAGATAGTTTAAAAAGGAATATTTTTATAATCTGCACCAGTCAATTTAAAAATTTCAATTAACTTTTGCTGATTTTTAATAGTAAAGTAGGTTGACATTTAGAAAAGGTGTGCTGGGAATTAGGGCAGGGAGGGCTTAAATCGACTTAAGTCATGACCTGTTATTTTAATCTATGCCCTATGGTTGGGAAAGCTGTATATTTCAGGGAGACTGTGTATTTCAGGCTGGAACTTTATGGGGAATGATGTGAGGAGAACTGAGTGAACGTGTTGCCCATCTAGTGTACTCACAAGACGGGGCTGATGACAGCTGCCCCAAAACAACCTGGACTTCATGGCATTCGGTTGAGAGAGAGGTTAGGAAATGACAGGAGGAGAGTCTTGAGATGATGAGACCATGAATATATGAACTGTAGAAGAAGTTGGGTGGGGGCTGGGGAGTGAGTGGGCAGTCTGGGACAGTCATAACTAGAGTCTGAATTCTGCCAAGATTTGGGAGCTGGGACTTTGGGATGCCAGCTCAGAGAGAAGGTGGGGCCCCCCTTCCAGTCCTAGGCTGCTTCACTACCTGCCTGAGTAATATCTGCCCTTGAATTCTAAGCCTTTTTCCCAGGGCTGTCTCTAGGTTAAGTACCCTTGCAGTAAACTCCAACATTTGTACACAAATGAAAATGATCACAGCCATGCACAGATGAAGGAAAAACAGGGGTGAGGGTAGGAGACGCCAGCAGGTAAGATCTTCAACTGACTCATCAGTTTGGTTTTTGGCCATCAACAGATTTGGGGTCTTTGTAGGCAAATCTGGATATTTTACAAATTCTTTTCCTTCCATCTAGTAAACAGCAAACACCCTAATTAATGCAAAATACCTCTATGGCAAGAACACACTGGGATTGGGGGTGGGGTGGTGTGAATTAATTGGACCCTGGAGCAAATGAAAAAAAAATGCATTTTTCAAAAAAGCAAACCTCAAAGAGCCCAGAAGAGAAAAAGCCCTTTCAAGCGCTTCCCAGTGTGTGGTGTGTGTGTGTGTCTGTGTGTGTGTGTATTTTCCATCCCCCTGTTGTTTGCTGCTCCAAGGAAAGGTGGGAGCAGCCGCAGTCGCCCTTAGTAGGTGCCTGTCACATTGTGTTATTACAATTCTGTATTTCAATTAAAGCAATGTAGCCAATTTAAAAGTTCTACCGTGAGCCATTCACGATGCAGAGATCTAAGGATTCAACTCACACATTTTAATACCCCACTTTTTTCCCTTCTTCTCATTTTCATGTAAATCAGGTTGAACACTGTCTTTTTTCTTCTTCCTCTAATCTAACCCTCAAAATATAATGCCAATTAAACAGTCTGCAAAGACAGCCTCCAGAACCCAGCATGATTTTGCTATGCCACTTTGATTTTCCTTAACGTTTTCTTCTTTTATTTCCTTTTCCTTTTTTATTTTCATGTTCTAATTTTATGAATGATGTGGTTTCCTTTTAGGGCATACATGGGGTTTGGAGGAAAGTGGACCTGGATCCTATCACTGATGGTCCTTTCTGACTGACTGTGGGAAACAGCATGAACCTGGAGCTGGGGGCCCTGAGTCTGAATCCAGGCTTGGATGCTTCCTGTCTTGGGTGAGGCCAAGCAGATCTCTTAACCTCTGTAAGCCTCGGGATCCCGATCTGTCAAATGCAAAGACTAAAACCTACTTTGCTGGATTGTCATGTCTTGTGAGGCCCCTAGCAGGTGCTCAGTTCCTAATAGTTTCTCTCCCTTTCTCTTAGGCAACGATAATCACATCGGGTTAACCTTTTCTGAAACAGAAACGAGATCTTAAATGGCACATAGAGCTCCTGCTATTTTATTTGATGTTTCAAAATCTTTCCTCCTGTTCATTTATCCCCCTAACACCCCCCCCCATCAGTATTATCTCTGCATTGAATGTTTGGGGGGAATTTTTAGTTCCTTTAATCTCAACAAGACACAGGCTCATTAAGTCCATCTCTACACAGCGGGTGGAAGGAGCGGGTGTTCTGTTTGCCCAATTTAAATGCTTCATCACAGATTTTAGGTCATTTCCCAAGTTTGGCGGGGTGCACAGCTCTTTTATAAACAACAAGCATAACCCATCTTTGATGTATGTGGGTCTGGATCAGTCCCAAAGGGATCCAGTTGATGGGGTGGAGCTTGCTTCCTTTCTGTTTCTTGTCTAGGGAGGCCCATGTAGAACTGGAAATCATACAAATTTGAATCTTCACTCATATATCACAAGGCCTTCAAAGATTATGAAAATGCTTGAGAAATAAAGTGGTTTCCCTTTGATCCAACCGTAGGAAAAGGTACAGCTATTTAAAGACACAACATTGATGAAGTAATAAAGGAATAGTATTCACTCATTCTTCATGTCCCCGGCCCTTTCTGTATCTTAAACTTGATGGAAAGTAAGATAAATCATACCCTGTGCTTGCCCTCAAGACTCACAGATTGATAGAGGGAGAGATCCAGCTAAATAAACACATTATAAAAAAATAAAAACAGATACAAAGTAGGAGATAGCACAGATGAAGCAATAGCTACATCTATTGGGGTCTCAGGGAAAGTTCTATCTACAGATAGGTGGTCAGGTTATCATGAGGCTGGAAACAACTTCAGGCATCATTGTGTTGATATCTCTAATTGATAGATAAGGTGATGAAGGCATAGTACGTAAAAAGATTTCCCCAAGTATTAAAAAAAATCAACCCAGGCCAGGCATGGTGGCTCACGCCTGTAATCCCAGCACTTTGGGGGGCTGAGGCAGGTGGATCACCTGAGGTCAGGAGTTCAAGACCAGCCTGACCAACATGGTGAAACCCCGTCCCTACTGAAAATACAAAAATTAGCTGGGCATGTTGGTGGATGCCTGTAATCCCAGCTACTTGGGAGGCTGAGGCAGGAGAATCGCTTGAACCGGGGAGGCGGAAGTTGCAGTGAGCCGAGATTGCACCATTGCACTCCAGCCTGGGTGACAGACTGAGACTCTGTTTCATTAAAAAAAAAAAAAAAAAAAATCAACCCATCAAGCATCTCAACATAATATAGAGTGCTGCCTATTATATGCTGGACCTTGTGATAGGTTTTAGGGGAACATAGAGAACCAGCACTCAAGGAGCTCTAGAATTAAAGAGGAGGAGCCACAGGGATACCCCCACCCAGAACACAGTGTGATACGTGCCGTCCTGCAGGAACAACTGTGGAAAAAAGCTTGGATCAGTCCAGACCAGAACTGAGGACCAACAGCCCATGGAATATAAATTTTAAAGCCTGAAGGACCTTAGAAATGAGTAAATGTAGGTCCAGAAAGCTGAAGGATTCTTTCTGTGCTGGCTCACAATTTGAACTTACAAGATTCCTTTGTAAGAACACTAAAGTATATAGTCCTACTGCTTGAATGAAACCAGAAAGAAGCAGGAGCAGCCCAGGTTTGGGTCTAGACAGTCTTGGTTTGGAAGACAACCTCTGCTTCTTCCCAAGCTTTGTGACCCTGGACAAGGCAACTGAGCCTTGTGCATTTCTGTTTCATCTCTAAATAGGGATAATGATGCCTAACTCAACAGAGTGTGTGGGAGGACTAAATGAAATAATAGATGCATCATTCCTGGCACTTGGTAGATGGTCTTGCATCCCATCTCATTTCTTCCCTGAGGCCCTGCTATTCAGTGTCAGCTTTGGTTATGTCTTTTTTCCTGTATCTTTCTGAATTCATATGTGTGGTCCTTGTAAAGAATGACTTTCTGACAGCCTCTCCAATCAAGGCTGTAGGGTAAAAACGCAAAATATCCCAGCACAATATATTATCCCCAAATGAGCCTATTAGCAGCCTCAGAGCAAATTGCTCCAAGGACTCACTGAGAGACATATTTGTTAAATTCGGTAAGGAGAAATGACTAATCCAAATGAATTCTTATAAGTCAATCTCACATCCCAGAAACGTTTCATTACTAGTTTTCATTACCAGATTACTGGCCTTATCTACCTGCACTCAGCTGTTTGGAACACGTTTTCTCTGCTCCATGCAGCAGTTCCTTCTCACCCTAGGATGTTACCCTGCACGTCACTATCCTGAACCTCTAACCAGGCTAGCTTCTTCCTACTCATCCCCACAGTACTGTTCTCTACATTTCCCACCATTCATTACTCTTTTAGCTATTTATTATTGTCCTATCTCCTTCATTAAAATGTAAGCTCCTTGAGGCAGGGCATCGTCTTGCTTAAGACAACCTTCTCAATGTTTAGCCCAGTACTTAGCCCAGAATATGAATATGAACTCCCTAAGTCCAGTATGAGGGTCAAGAGAGTGGACTGTGGAGTGAGATTGCTTGGTCCTGACTCTTGGCTTCACCAGCTGCTAGCTGGGTGAAGTAGGGTAAGCTGTTGAAACTCCTACAGTGAGTATCTCCAACCGGAAAGGACAAATGATAATAGTACCTTCTGCAATGTGTTTCTAGGAAGACTAAATACAATGAGTCATGTCTGGCTTCAGGACACTGGCTGCCACATCCCCACTCCTGCCACCTGACTGGTCACTGTCATGCCAGGTTGCACCAAGGCTGGTATTGAGAACCACATGAGATGTGTCTCAGTTCATCTTTGATGTACTGTCACTTTGAATACCGTCCCTAGCTAACTCTGAGTTTTTGGCTTAGTAACTGGGACTTCCATCCTGCTATGGCCATTTGGACTTGGTGTCTGTATTTGGCATATGAATTTGGATCTTTCTGATGGACTGAAATTTGTCTTCTGCTCTGGCTTTCTCCCACTGCTTCTAGGGGGCCTCTTTGGAGAAGCAGGTACCCAGCAAGCCCCAGACCTCTCATTCTGAGGACCAGCAGCCAGGGGCAACTCACCTCTGAACCCTGATCCTGACTTTGTCCTCTTCTCCTCTAGTTCATGTTGGGGTTCTAGCATGCTTGTGTCTGGCACCCAATTTATGACATGAGTTTCCAAGAAACTCCCTTAGTTTATTCATGCTTGTTAAGGAAAGTGCTTCGTTTTGAACACCCAGCAGACTCTTTTAGTGACCTCTTGATTTGACTCTCTGGAAAACAAACATGGCTCTCTTCCAGAAAAGCTGGGCTGTCCCAAATAGTCTGGTATGGATGGAACTTGGAGTATGAATTTAAAAAAATAAGAGAAGCAGCTTTGCAATGTGGGAATTCAAAGTATGGTGTAGTAGCTTTGCTTTTTCCTCAACACTGCAATTATTACCACAATTTTATGAATATAGTTTGTAAATGCTAGCTAATATTTTGAGCAGTTATCATGTGCCAGCTCTTATGCTCAGTGATCCAGATGCATTGCTCACCCAACCCTCCTCACAGCAACCCTATGAGGGAGGCATTATTATTTTTCTCTTATTCCTGATGAGAATAGGAAAACATACCCGGCACATAGTAGGAGTTCCTAAATATTTGTCGAATGATTGCATGAATCTTAGACCATTAAATGATTTCTAAACTCAATCTGTTGTGCTTCTGAAATCAATAGCCCCAGGTGTCATTTGAATGCTCATAAGCCTTTAAATCATGGCTAGATCAATGCATGTTACCTCCCAGGGAAGCAGAAATTTACCACTTTCCTCCCTTGACAGGCCACGGGGACAGGACAAGGCCTGAGATTACAAAAGGGGCTTTGTGACACAGGAGACATAACGAGATCAACCTTGAGAGTAGTTTGCACATGAACACTTTATGTTAATGGGCTATAAGTAAAGTGGCCACATGTGTCTGTTCATTTATCACATGCTTATAGAGCATCTGTTCTGTCCAAGGGTCTGCTCTCTGCTAGGAATAAAAACATGAGCGAGACCAGTCTCTGCCACCATTTACAAACAAAAACTAGGCCACATGTTCAAGAGAAGTGAGTGTTCTAATGGTACAAAATATTCTCAATTCAGGCTCATCTTGGAGAACTGGAGCCCTGCTACCTTCAGAGCTGGCTGTACCCTGCTTCCATGTTCAATGCTGTTCTGCAAGCAACCGGACACTGTTTTCAGATCTGCCATGAATGGGGTTTGTCACTTTTGGCTCAACTCTTTAACATCTGTTGGCCTCAGTTTCCTTTTGTTTACATTAAGAAGGTAAATTCATTCAGTGACAACAAGGTTCCTTTCAGCTCTGAAATTCTATAATGTTGCAGTGGTTACATCTATTAAAAACAATTCGTTGATTCACTCAACGTATTTAGTGAACATTACTTATATTCCAGGAACTGGGCCAGATAATCCAGATATAAATGTTGATGATACACAGTTCCTGCTCTCAAACCCTCAGCCTAATGAAGGAGAGTAAACAATCTTTCGTGAGGCACACAGTAACCATTATTACAGCAATCATTTACATCTATTGACTCCTTGCTATAAACTCAGTACTTCATGGGCGTTATTTCATTTTCACCTTAGAATAACCCTATGCTACAGGCACTATAGCTATGCCCACTCGCAGATGACAAAACTGAGATCTAAAGAGATGGAGCAACTTGCCTGAAATCACACATCAGAAAGTTAAGACTCAAACCCAGATCCTGCCTAACTCCAGCCTTGATATTTATATATCAAGGCTTATATAAACAGAAATATATATAATATATATTATTGAATAAACAGAAATACATATAGTACAGAGAAGAATATGCTTAGAATAACAAAAGAGTGCAGATAAAGGGAGTGAGGGAAAGAAGATGAATTCTTTGGGCCGTAACCAGGGTAGGTCTCCAGGAGAGGAGCCGTTTGAGCCAGACCTGAAGGATGGGTGGGCCTTGGATGGCGGATATGGGAAGAAATGGAATTGTCCAGCAGAGGAAGGAAAGGTTGACACACCCATACCCTGAGCCCCTCTCCAGCCCTCACAGGCCACGTGTTCAAGAGAAGTGAGTGTTCTAATGGGACAAAATATTCTAAATTCAGGCTCATCTTGGAAATTCAGAGCCTGTTACTCTTAGAGCCGGCTGTAACCTACTTCTATGTACTACTGTTCAGACACTGTTTTCAGATCTGTCATGACACAGTCCAGACAACACAGCCATTGTTACAACATCAGGGCTGGGGCACACCCTCCAGCCAGGAAAGGAACTCTTGTTTTATCTACACCAATTTCTGCCTGTGTGTACAAGCACCTGCTAGCACTGGTCCACCTGCAACACCCTTCCCTCTAATTTTTTCATTCATGTCTTCTTCTAGAATTCAACTCTCAGCTTAAGTGTCCCCTTATCAGAGACACCATCCCTGTCTCATCCCATCTAATTTTGCTATCCCTCCCAGTCACTCCCTATCACATTACCCCGAATTTTTAAAAACTACACAGTACTTATCACTATCTGAAATTATTTTATTTACATGGTTATTGCCTGACTCTTCCAATAAAATAGAAAGTAATAAGGGTCATGACTTTGCCTGTCTTATTCACTCAGTGCTGAATCCTTAGTGCTTATTATAGGTGATCAATACATAGTTGCTGTATAGATAAATGACTAAATAATCTCTGCCCCAAGTCTAGGATGCATTTGTAGTGAGGTCGGGTTAGGTGTTCAGGAGTCAAGAACTTAAATTTTGCTCTAGGCTCTAAATGCCCTACATGTATAACTTCTACCTTTGAAACCTCAGTTTCAATGTCTGCCAAATAAGAATAATGATATTCCCATTAAACACTATGGATTATTAAAAGTATCTAACACATAAAAGTCCGTGATGTCCTTATGACATTCTTGCTGTCATATTTTCTTTTACTCTAGGGTTTAGAGAAAAAGAAACAAACATGGAAAGAAAATGACCTGTTTTATTTCAGCATTCCTTTATGTCTGTCTAGAAGTTTGCTTCCAGCTAGGAGACTAAGAGCATAGAATAGCTGCAAGGCCCTGTGTTCAGACTGACAGCCAAAGACATACTTCAGAGTAAGTGCTGCAGTTACTCCCACTGTGAATCTCCAGGCTAGGCCTTCCTGAGTCAGTGCATGCAGGGAAGCTTATTGTGGTCTCTGTCAATTTCCACAATGGTCTTCTGTTCCAGCCCAGCAGGTGAATCATCACCAAGATGGGGCAGTCCAATTCCTGACCTAGCGGGCCCTTATGCTGTCTTCTACGTGAGAAATTCATCTGGATTTTCAAAGAGTAACTATGAATGAAGCTGCCAAGCCCAGGTAGAGAGCAAGCTGAAAATGTCTCTTTCAACTAGGAGGCCAATGTGTTTTTCTCCAGTTTCCTGTAAACTCAAGGGGCCAGTCATAACATAGGCTACCCATGAGTAACAATTCCTTTGCACATGAGCTTTCAGGTCAGCTATACACCAAATGTTTTATAACTAATAAATATCACCCAAAGAAGCTCAATTTGATTAATGTAAGAAGATGTACAAACGAATCAATTTTTTTGTTCATTCACTCATTTGTTCATTCAGATAATTGGCAAATGCTAATTCAGCCCTAATAATGGGCCAGGTGGCATACTAGACAGTAGGGGGTACAAAGATGAAAAGAAACAGTTTCCAAGCCTAAGAAAACCACGTTTTAGAAATGATGACAAATATACATTCAATCAATTACAATACAATTCTAAGTGAATGTTGGAGACAGAAACATGAAGGACTAACAAAATTAAATAGAATGGCAACAGTGGCAAACACAGGCAAGAGGAACATACCACTGTGGGGGTAAGGGGAGGAAAAAGGGGGTGAACAGACTCACTCACTGAAGGGCACTGAGGTTAGATGACAGTTTTTAGAGCTGAGCCACAGGCTCTGAGAATGGCCTGTTTCATAACCCAGCTCTGTCACTTACCACCTGAGTGGGTTCAGCAAGTCACTTAACCATTCCATGTCTTGTTTTTCACATTTGTCAATTAAATGCTAAATAAAAATTGGCCATTATTGTTACTGATAGGCTACCCCACTAATCCTTTTAGAAATCCTATAAAATAGGTATTATTATCTCCATTTTATAGGTGAGGAATTTGAGGCTATTTAAGGACTTGGCTACTATTATTAACTCTATTTCTCAGATGGGGAAATTGAGGTACAAAGACCTTAAGTAATTTTAGCTTTTAAAATTCTAGATTAGGGGTTGGCAGACTTTTTCTGCAAAGGACCAGACAATAAATTTCTTCTGCTTTGTGGACCATACTGCTTCTGTGGCAACAACTCAATGCTGCCTTTATAGTGCAAAAGCAGCCATAGGTAATATGTAAACAGATGAGTGTGATTGTATTGCCATGAAATTTTATTTATGGACATTGAAATTTGAACTTCATATAATTTTTGCATAATGTGAAATGTTTTCATTTTGATTTTTTCAACCATTAAAAAATGTACGCTTGCAATCAAAAACCGGTGGTATGCTAGATTTGGCCTATAAGCCATTGTAGTTTTGTCAACTCTGGCTCTAGATCCAGGAAGTGTTTCATTACAGCCTGATTTTAAAGACTACTCTTTTAACTACTAGGTATATATAGCACTGACTGAAATCCAGACCTTTCTCATTCCAAAGCATGTGATCTTTCTCGTAAATACTCATAAATACCACTACTCCTGAGGACTATTTGAGAAGGATGACCAAATAATTCAAAATGCACATACTCTTAGAGTACAGTTCAACTCTAGGATGGAACACTTCCCTGCTGTTTTTGGTGATGCCTCAAAGTCACTGTATGAATTAGTTTCTATGGAAACTGACCTGGTCTCCCTGCCTTGGTGATCCTTGTTTAAATTCCCTTCCCTGGCCAAAATATGAATGTAGAACTGGGGATCACTCACTATGTTCTCATCTGCATCCCCAGCCAATTTGTATTTAGGATTTCAGATGCACCAACGTTATAGGTAGAATTTGTTTGTGAATAGACCGCTACAGATATACGAGAAAATGGAACAAACGCCGTTTATGAATGTTTCTTTTTTATTAGGCTCAGAATTTTTAAGGAAAGAAAATGGAAGGAAGATGATGCTATTTTCTTCTTTGCTGTATCTTCAAGTTCAGTTACTATAATTTAATAGATTCACTTAAAAGGGGGTTGGCAAAGAAACCTCCTTGGAAATGTATCAGTATCAACCGGAAAAGCTTCTGCTCTTTCTTAAAGAGAATTCCATTTATGTTAAGAAGAAAAAAAAAGCAAAGCAGGATAGTTAGGTCTGTAATCAGTTTTCAAATTACAGAAGATGTTGTCCATTGTTGCAAAATGGGGCTCTGACAAGAAGTCAATCAGGTGTATTTGCTGCATCGATTAGCACTTCAGTATGAAGGAAAAGGTGAGGCTTTACCAAGGCCAGCTCTCCAGGGACTACATAAGCTCCTGCACTCAGAAGCATCAGTTTCACTCAGATATTTTACTCTGTTTGCCTTCCCAAAGCAAGCAGTGGATTCACTGAGGTCCTCCATATTAAAAAGAAGTTGAGAACCCTTCTGTTTGGAGTGAGACTAAAATCAGAGTGAGATGAGTTGAAGCGGCAAGACCTGGTGGTCATGACAAGGACTTCTGAATTCAGACCATCTGGGTTCCATTTCAGGCTCTGCCACTTAATCATCACCATGTTGCTTAACTTTGTAAGCTGTCCTTTTTTTTTCTTTCTCTATCTGTAGAGATAATAATAGTATCCATATAGTGGGGTTATTAGGAGAATTAAATTGAATAAATGCATGTAAAGTGTGCAGTGCATGGCCAACACCATCCTCAACACACCCTAGTGCCAGCACCTGCCCAGTCCCATTCTGCAGCTCCACCTCCATCTCACCGGCTCACAGAAGACGCTAAACAGAAACACAGGAGGCAATGCATTTACTGCAGGACTTAGATATCTCCAGTGAGTGTAGCATTGTGGCTAAGAGGGTAGGCTTCGGGGCAGACAGATGCAGGGCCTAATCCCAGCTCTGCTACTTACCAGCTTTGTATCCTGAACAAGTTACCTATCACCACCAAGCCTCAGGGTTTCTCATATATTAAATCACACTTAATTTTAGAAATGTTCTGGGGATTATAAAGTACTTAGCATGGGGTTGTCACAGAGAAGGTCCTCAGTAAGAAGTGGGCATTTTCATCACAGGACAGAGTGAGACATACTCTAGAACAGCCCAGTCTGAAAGCTTTGTGTGATGATGTAAATGTTCTATATTTGCACTGTCCAATAAAGGAGTCACTGGCTACATGTGGCGCTTGAAATGAGCCCAGTGTCACTGAGAAAGTGAGTTCTTAAATTTTATTTTATTGTGATTAATTTAAATTTAAATCTAAATAGTCACCTGTGGCTAATGGCTACTGTATTGCATGTCACAGTTCTAGAAGCATGGCCAGAGGCTTCCTGGGTATTCAGAAAGGAAAAGGAGGGCTTTCAGTTGGGAAAGGCTCAGGAAGAAGGCAACATGAGCTGGGGTCTTCTCTGAGCAGGCTTCTTAAAGGTGAAAACACTCCAACTTGTGGAAGCCCTGGCTGTGCTTTGGGTAATAAGGAAATGGGGCATTTTTCAAAAGAATAGAGTTCTTGTAAGGAAGAGATCTGAAGTTAGACTGGGTTGAAACATCTCTTCAAAGGGCCTGATTATCAAACAAATGATGTAACCACATCAGGCCATGGGGAAAGTTGTTCAGCAAGTAGGAGACATAGAAACAGTCATTCCTGCCTCCATAGTTCAGCTGTGATGTGGGGTTGCCAGTCCATCTGTCCCTACTATCTATGGTCTCCTGTATCATGAACATGGCAGTGACCTCTGTGGCTGGGCTTTCCAAAGCTCCACAGACTGTGTCCAAAAACTGTTGGGGACACGCTTCTCATCTTGGCATGCTGAGCAGTTTAGTGTGGATTCGCTTAGAAAGCAGGTTGGGAGGCCTGGCGTGGTGGCTCACCCTGTAATCCCAGCACTTTGGGAGGCCGAGGCAGGTGGATCACAAGTTCAGGAGTTCGAGACCAGCCTGACCAACATGGTGAAACCCCATCTCTACTAAAAATACAAAAATTAGCCGGGCCCAGTGGCACGCGCCTGTAATCCCAGCTACTCAGCAGGCTGAGGCAGGAGAATCACTTGAACCCGGGAGGTGGAGATTGCAGTGAGCTGAGATCACGCCATTGCACTCCAGCCTGGGCAATAGAGTGAGACTCTGTCTCAAAAAAAAAAAAAAAAAAAAAAGAAAGAAAGCAGGTTGGGAGAAGCTATCCCAGTGTTTTCTGGTGTTTTCCAAACTGTATCTATATCTAGCCATAAGATACACTGTCCTCATTTTATTATCCAAGTGGCCAAGCAGAGGCCAGCAGAAGCAAAGTGGACAGTTCAGTGTCTCCCCAACTCATACAATGATAAAGGAAGCCCAAGGACAAAATGTTCTTAGGGCCAATATTGTCTCTTGCAGACAAGATGGTGGAAAAAAAGAAGATTATAGCCCAATGGCTTCAATACCAGATTTACCTTGAATCTACTAGGATACCTGCCATCCTTGAAATATACAGCAGGAGAAATAAGTAATTAGGTGGCTTTTTACAGCTCTCTATAACTGCTATGAATTAATAGGAGCACCATGGAGAGAATTCTTTTTATATCCTGGCATATATCTTTCAGTACAAAGCAGAACTAGCATTTATCCTGAATAGAGATCTTAGTTACTTCATCCCGGCACTCTGCAAACATTGTCCAGCAGACAGCAAAATGAGAGTCGAAGACAGTCACAGATCTTCTAATTTGTACCTACATGGAAAAAACTGGATGATTCCTGGCTTTGACTTCTGTTTCCTCCCTAGTCGCTCTCCAATTCTCTCTCCAATTAAGATACAGAATTGGTGAGAAGAGTAATTTGGCTGAAAAAGCTGGAACTCTTGCAGTGAAAAGTAGGGTTTTTTTACATGGGAAAATGTACTGCATATAAAAAAGCGCTTTTCAATTGGCAAGGACAAAGGAGACACTCTACTGGCTGGCCATCTCTGTAATAAACATACTGACTAATATTTGCAGATGGCTGTAGAGTTCAACTTTTAAACACACACTTTCACTTATATCACATTGGAGCCGCATAACTACTCTGCGAAGCAGGTGTGGAGAATTAAGATGAAGCTACTCATTTTATAGATGAAGACAATGAGGCTCAGGCTGATTAAGTCCCCAAGATCACAGAACTGGTGAGCTATGGAGCCCTCCTATGAACTTCTATTTTTATTTTCAAATAATGCCATCTCTTCATTTTTGAGGCAACTAGCAGTAACAGAGCATTTTGCAGTTTTCAAGGCATTTCTAACATTCATAGTACAATTCAAGCCCTCGGTGCAGTGCGGTATATGTCATTATTTACAAATGAAGAAACTGAGTTCCAGGGCATTTGTAAAACCTGCCAAGACAATGTAGCTCACAGGTGGAGCCAGTATTGAATTTGTTATCTTCTCCACTCATCTTTTATTGGGTCTAGGTGCTGTTATGTTTCTAAGCTCAGTTTTACTGGTGCTCTCACACTGAAAATATTTCTAAAATGTTGAAGTCCACTTCCCTTCTGGTCCTAGTTATAAAAGGCTCATGAAAGTAGTGGGATTTTTGAGGGGGGTGTGGGGAGGGGGGATGGTAGGCTGGTCCTGACGTTGCCTCAACACAACACTCTGTGACCTAGTGTTCAGCTGGCTTGCTGCATCAGGAGCCAAAGGCTAAGAATACAGCCAGGCTGAAGTGAGGACACAGCCCAGTGACTTACTTTCAAGGATACTCAGGTAGTCAGAGAAAGAGCTGGCATATATCTTTCAGTACAAGACATATAGGTATAAGCATATAGAGGTGGTGTATCTCTTGGATCTGATTCCTTCTCTGATATTTTATCCATTTCACAAGATTAGTCTAATTGCAAAACAGCTGGAGGAGACAAATATACAGCCATGGAAGGTGTCAACAATGATTATCATCATTCGAACAGACTCTCTAATGACAGTGTAGAGCTGCTGTAACAACATCAACAAATTTTCATGAAAGGAAAAGGAAGTATAGGCCATACTGCAAAACTGATTGGAAGTCTGAAGGGGCCACATAATTCATGTTTGGACAAGACACAACATGTATTAAGACACAACATATACTAGCATATCCCAGTTAAGGTGAAAGATTCCACCAAGAAAGATTATTCCATCTTCACCTCCCTCAGCTTAAAACAGACTGGGAGACTAACAGGGATGTATACGTAGCTCCTGCCTTCTATGCTAAAAAAGTCAGAATAAGGACCAATGTATGAAGTTAACATGGAGAGAATGTAGCAGGCAGGCAGAAGTTGTAGAATGAATTTACAGTTTGGAATCTAGAAGACCCAGGTTTAAATCCTTCATCAGCTGCCTTGTGCACATTCCTTAACTTCTCTATGACTGGTTTTTTTATTTGTAGATGGAAATAATGATCAATGTTAGCTTATTCTTTCTGATCACTTACTGCATGCCAAACACTGTTCTAGGCACTTTACATATATTACCTTGTTTAATCTTCTCAATACACCTGTGATTTTACACTATAACTGTTTCCATTGTCTGATGAATAATCTGGGGTACAGACAAGTTAAGTAATATGCTTGAGATAACATGGCTAGAAATAGCTCGCATTTATGATGATAGAACAGCAGTATAGACAGGTAGCTGACATATAGTAGAAGCCCGTAAGTGACAGTGTCAGTTACTATTATGAATATTATTATAATGGTCAGGTATAATTCACCTACAAAGATAAGTGCTAAGCCTATCGCAGCTTTGAATGTTTAAACTGAGGCTGAAAGACTGCCGGTGGACCACTTGTCTCAACTGGATCTACAACTTTTCCAGTGATTTGATTCTCTTCAACTATTTACATACAGGGCAGTTCCCTCCCTGACTTCTTCCAGCACCAAAACTTGCTTAATCTAAACAATGCAAGATTTATGGCATTCCTTTATTTGAGTTGATTCCAATGTGTCAGCAGATATGAATTACAACATAAAATAATTATACTTGAAAGTGAAATGTAGGCCTAAGGATTCTGGTTGGCTATCATTTTTTTAATGCCAGTGATTTCTGAAAGACTGGATTTATTTAGTGTCTTTCCCCCCTCCTCTTGAGCACTTAGAGACCTCAGCTTCTAGGAATGCCATTCCAGCTACCTTTATTACAGACCACTTTATCAATTACCCTGACAGTTATTCATACTATACATGAATGTACTTTATATTTGTCACATGTGCTCTGTAGACAAGGTAATAAAACGTATAATGCATCTTTCTTATCAGTAAATCCTAATGGGTGGTACAAGCCAAAGACTCTTGAATGGGAACCTCTCAGAAGTGTGACAGAACTGAAGTAGCTTGAATTTATATATAAACAAATTAATGGAGTCTTTAATGCAGCATGAGAAGGGGGTTTCCACAAGGAAGATTAGCAATTATGGCAGGAAGAGGTCTATTAAATCATCTTGTCCATCCCCAACCATGTGGGCGGTTCCCTACAGCAAAACCCCCTTCCAGATTAAATTACCTAAGAGATTGGGATTCCGACCTTGGGAAACAGTTGACTGCCCAATCAGTCTCCCCATTTTCAGTTCTTTCAGTTACATGACAAGAGATTGGAAAAAACAAACAGCAAATGAAAAGTGACTATATCCCAGGGAAAATCCTTTATCAGCCTCTTTTTCTTTCTTCCTTTCCCAACCTCTTTTTAGTCTCCTAAAATCATTTTTATTGTCAGATATGGCATTTCAGGTGAATTTCTCTGCCTCTACTTTCTCTAATTTCAGCTATGTGTAGAAAGTGACAACAAATAAAGGCTAGCCCAATGGAAAGAATATTTTTTTGGGCTGGAGTTGACAACACCTGGGTTTCAAAACTGACTTCAACATCTACTATCTGTGATGTCAGTAAGGTCACTACTTATCTCTGAATTTGAATTTTCTTATCTGTAAAATAAGAAATATATTAGTCTGATATAATGAAATGAGACCATTTTTACATTCATTCATTTATTCAACGTAACTGTTGTAAGTGAGCACCTTCTATCTACAAGGTAAGGGTTTAGTACTGTGAACACACCGGTGAAACCACTGCTCCTGCTTTCAAGGGATCTGAAATCATAGGAAGGTATGCTGCCACTAAACACCCAATTATAACGCATTTTTTACTGCAGTAAAATACACCTAAGATTGACCATTTTTACCATTTTAAGTGTACAGTTCAGTGGCATTAAGTACATTCACATTGTTGTGCAACCATCACCACCATCCATCCATTAAACTTTTCCATCTTTCCAAACTGAAACTCTGTACCTATTAAATACTAACTCCCCATTCCCTCCTCCCTGCAGTCTCTGGTAACTATCATTCTACTTTCTGTCTCTATGAGTTTGACTACCATAGGAACCTCATAAAAGAAGACTCATATAATATTTGTCCCTTTTGTGACTGGTTCACTTAGAATAATGTCTTCAAGCTTCATCCATAATGAGGCATGTGTCAGAATTTCTTTCCTTCTTACGGGTGAGTAGGAGTCCATTGCATGTGTATAGCACATTTTGTTTACTCATCCATCCATGGGCATTTGGGTTGCTTCCACCTTGTACAGCACATTTAATAAGCACTATAACAAAAGTGGCTGGTGTGTGGAAGGACAAAAGAGAGATATCTAACCTAGGTTTGTCAATCAGGGAAGAATTCCTGAGGAAATAGTGCCTGAGCTGAGAGGTCTGTAGGATAAAGTGGAGTCAGCCAGATAAAGGAAGGGGCAAAGAGATAGTGGGTAGGGGAGACAGGAGAAGAATGTCCTAAGCAGAAAAGAAGAGGAAGAAGAAGAGGAAGAAGAAGAAGAGAAGAAGAAGGAGGAGGAGGAGGAGGAGGAGGAGAAGGAGGAGAAGGAGAAGAAAGAGAAGAAGGAGAAGGAGAAGAAGGAGAAGGAGGGGAAGGGGAAGAAGAAGAGGAAGAGGAAGAGGAGGAAGCATACTTGTGCAAAGAACATATTTGCTATCCAATGGCTTTCACACAAGACCAGGACCCCTCACTCCCTCACTCTCTCTATCAGGGAGAGAGTTGGAAATATGTAAAAGTACCCTTCTGCTTGTCACTATGAAAGATGTCTTTTGGTATCTGCACAGGGCATCAGGGAAGTGGGGGAAGGGATTCCAAATGTCTTGCAGTGCATGGGGCAGCCTTGCAAAAAAGGAATTGTCCCAACTGGAAATGCTAATTTATGCTTCACTTGAGAAACACTGCTTAATAAATGTTCACTGAATGAAAAAAGAAAAAGAAAAAGAAAAAAGAAAACCCGGCACATTTTAGAACTGAATGTGGTTTTCATTATGAAGTCTTTGCCTATGCCTATGTCCTGAATGGTATTGCCTAGGTTTTCTTCTAGGGTTTTTACGGTTTTGGATTTTACATTTAAGTCTTTAATCCATCTTGAGTTAATTTTTGTATAAGGTGTAAGGAAGGGGTCCAGTTTCAGTTTTCTGCATTTGGCTAGGAAGGTGGTGGGCAAGGGGAGAGAACTTAGAGGACGGGTTAGTAGGTGCAGCAAACCACCATGGCACATGTGTACCTGTGTAACAGATCCACATGTTCTGCACATGTATCCAAAACTTAAAGTTAAAAAAAAAAGTGGTTTTCTGTGGTTGTGGGGGGTCAGCCGGAGATGAGGCTGAGATCATTTTCATAGCCCCTCCGATATTTTCAGTTCTGTGAGTTTCTTCTCTACATAGTGTCTCTGTATTATATCTCTATTTTGCAAACATTGCCTGTACGATCAATTAAATATCATCTGCTTACTTAATGAGAATGATTCCCTTTGCTTTGCTTGATAGGTCATTAGGAGAGAGGCACATGTGTGAATTTGAAGAGAGGCAGCCACACTAAGATGTTGCTTATCACACTGTTGTGTAATTGGCTGTTTACTCGGCTGCTAGATTATGAAGCCTGTGGAGCAAGAGGCTTCTCTGATTCATCTTCATATCCCAGTGCCTGGTACACATTGGATGCTCAGTAAATGTTTGATAGAATAACTTTATTTTTACAGATGAGAGTGTCAGCAAAAGAAAAACAAATGACTTCAAGGTGCTGATGGGAGCTCTGGTTTTTAAGGATGGGATTTTACACCCTGTGGAATATTTAGCCTTAGCTCTCCCAAACATGTTCATATACTTTCATAAGAAGAAATAAAGGCAAAGGCAGATTTGTTCAGAAAATACTCTGAGGTTAGAGAAATAACCTCAAGAGGTTTAAGGTGCATTCAGTTCTCTAGAAGACCTCATCCAGACTGCAGGAAT
This sequence comes from Homo sapiens, assembly GCF_000001405.40. Lineage (NCBI taxonomy): Eukaryota > Metazoa > Chordata > Mammalia > Primates > Hominidae > Homo > Homo sapiens. The sequence continues at coordinate 57,122,582 of NC_000001.11, forward strand.
AGAGATACTGTAGGTGGAAAACCAAACTGATGAGTGCCATGGGAATACTAGAGCTATCCTGAAAGAGGCTACAGAAAAATCTCATTATTTCAGATCCCACTAATTCTAAATTTGGACAGAATCTGGGCCACATTCCCTTTCTTCAATAAACCTGTTCTCCATAAATTATACAAAATTACTAGAATGAAGAACAAGGAAGGGGGAGCTTATTCATTAATAAATATTTGTGGAAAGCTAACTTTATTCTTTTCTTATGAAAAAAATAATGCACATCATCAAGGAGAATTTTATAAAGTGCCAAGAACTTTAATGTGCATTCTCTCTCCCTGAATTTTTGCAAAATATCTCCAAAGAGCGCCTGAGTCATGCCCCTCTCCATCCCATAATGGAGAAAACTTAGGCTCAGAGAGGTGAAATTACTTGCCCAAGATACTACAGCTTTATGCAAAGAAAAGAATATATAAATATATTTTATTTTCATTGAAAGCCAATGATCAGAAATCTTAAATTATAGTAATAAAGATTGTCAAGTTTTCTCCTCTTGGTGACATTTATGCATACGTGGAGAATCAACAATATGACCCTGAACATAGGCCAGTGAAAATGTATGACTATGGGAATATTGGCAGTCCAGGCAGTTAACACCTTGGGAATGATAGGCCAAGTCCTAAGAGAAATCCAACTTCAGTCAATTCTTAATATCCTTTGGCGTCATTCAGATTTGTAGGTAAAGCCAAAGGACCATTAGTCTCATCAGTATAAAAGCCCTACTTTACAATTATATTGCTGCCCTATAGTGACCATTATGAGCAGATTCTGAAATTAGGACAGAGGCATTCAAACTAAAGTTTAATATCAATAAGTTAATTTTTTTTAAATGACAATACTCCATGCTGGCAAATATGTGGTAAAACAGACGGCATCATACATCTAGCAGTACAACTTTTTAGAATATAATTTGATCAAAAAAAGCCCAAGAGCCTTAAAAATATCCACACATGTTGACCTAGTAATCCTAGAATTTCAATGAAGGAAATAATGACAGTAGTGTTCAAAGCTGTGCTCAAAGATACAGATAAAACCTGCATGGCTAACAATATGGTTTTTACTAAATTATGGTATACTCCTATGCTAGAATGCTTTATGTTGATTGAAAATATTGTTGTAGAAGAATAATTAGTGGAAAAATGTGGATAAGTAAAAAATAGGTTACAAAGCAGCGTGTATAGTTTAATTTCAACTTTGAAAAAATTATTTTTATGTAAACAAGAATGGTGATATATACACAAAAAAATCTTGATTGGGTTTATATCTAAGTGGTGAGATTTCACATAATTTGCAGTTTTTTTCTTTATGACTTTTCTACATTTTATAAATTTTCTACAATAAATATATAATACTTTTATAAACTGAAAAAAGCATAAGGACCAGGCTCTATCAACTACCACTGTGTAACTTTGGGCCAGCAATTAAGCACTCTGAGCTTCAGGTCTACCACCAGTAAAACTGCATGTGTCATATGCATCTTGTAAGATTAATGTGAGGATCAGTGGTAAGGAAAAAGTGAAAGTACTTTGAAAACAACAAAAAAAGATTCCCAAACATAAGACATTCCTTTTATTATTGTATCAGATGAAGAAGTTTTTGTTCAGTGCAAAGGTGATTGTACCATAGGACACAGATAAAGGAGTGAAAATATAGACACAGACTTTGACAGCATGGAAATTAATATGAAAGAGTATGCGTGTCTATTCACATGGGTAAATATATCATACAGCACAGTCAGAGTCATGAGATGATGCATCTCAGTATCTCAGAGTCTCAGACACTCTCGTTGGAGCCATTTATATGGAAGATGAACTATCTTCTCCTCAAAAGTGAGGTTATAACTGTCTTGAGTTTAGACAATTGCCAGTAAAATCTTTATTTTCAAAATTTTAAATATATAACTTTAAAATGTCTGCACATCTCTTAGACATCATGAAAGATTCAGATCTCAGGCTTTAGAGTTGCTGGCATTTTTAATTTAAATATTGAGGCCACACTTCTCTGGTAATTTCTTGCAGATTTGCAATCTCCTAATTTTCTAAATAGTTTTTAGAAGTCAAATCTAGTCTGGCAGGTAAATCCCTGAACTATATGAATGAGGCTCCTGCAGATGGGACTGAGAATTGGGGTGATCACAATAGAAATATTTGGCTGAAGCCATAATACAGAAGCTGCCTAGGGCTGAAATGGCTGCATACTGCATCTGATTTTGTGCTCATCAGACAGACTGTCAGGCTTGAGGCTTGAGTCAGCATCAAAAAATCACTGTCTTTTGTCCTCAGTGCTCAGAATGCCTGTCCCTCCCACCCCCCAACCCCGGCCTCATGCCTCATGTTCTTTGCTTTGTGTGGAAGAATGGCGTTAGTAATATCTATAGTTCATAGTGTGATTGTGAGGACAGAATGAGTCAGTGTGCATAATTTACTCAGCACAGTCACCATAGCACAGAAGATTTGACAACCCCAAGCTCATCTCTCACCATCTCAGCAGCTCTGCTAGGCTAATTTTTTCCCTCTCATCCCTCAGTTCATCCTTACACATGTTCCGTATACATGCTCCAGGACCTGGGGTACACAGGCATCAAAATTTGGAGGCGCAGACCCCATAGGTCCCTGAAGGGACTCCCGCCCTTGGGGAGGGCTCCCTCCTCTGGCAGGGCACAGGATAAATGAAAGAGGTGAGACTCATATGCTGCAGAGATAATCAGGCAGAGTTTCTGTCCTTCAGGAACTTACACTGTAATATTAGTGTAGTGCTCCATACATAGTACCTACTTTCCTTTCCTGTCAATCTGCATAAGATATTATACTTCTTCTATAGCAGGTTATACTTTATATCTTATACATAGTAGGTATCATATAATCTCTCTGAAAAAAATACATATGGCAATAAAAAAGGTGAGTATATCTACATGTACATGAAAGTAGGAGAAAAGGATGAGGGAAAGGAAGAAGGCAAGTTAGATGGATGGGTAAATAGAAAGAAAAATGAGGGGAAAATGGGTTACCTATGCATTAAGATCATCAATAAGACCAAAGGTTGAGATTTAACACATTATACACAAGCTTTAATACATTTTATGCAACCTTCTACTCATCGACAAATTGAAAGAACCCTGAGAAGGACAGACGTGGCTGGAATAAAGTGGGTTGTATCACTGAAGCCCACCAGAAGAGGTGGTGGAGATGCCATTTTCTGTCTCAGGGAGATGGTAGTTTAGAGTTCAGATGCCACCCACAGCAATCAAAGGCTTATAGGCATAGCTAGACAAAGAGGTGAACCAGAGGCTTCTTGACTTTTACAACGAAAAATTCAGTGCAATTCCACAAATATCTACTAGGAGCTGATCACATGCCAGGAGGTAGGAGATACAAGGATGACCAAATCATGGACCCTGCCCTCAAGTCACATATAGTCTAGCATTTTTGTTTCTCTTTGTTTAAAATTCTCCCCATCTTTCATATCGCAAATAGAAGAGCATGCAGAGACTTTACCAGCTTGGCATGGTTATTCTTATTTTAAAGAAAAACAGTGAAAATTCCAAGAAAAAAGTAGTGACTGATTATAGGATCTAAAAATGTGAAGGTGTTAAATTCATCTCACTGTTAATTCTAGAATCAAAAATTAAGTATGTATAGTTAGTAACTTTAGTACAGAAAGGAAACCAATCAGTCATTGAAGCGTTCTGTTGTAGGTAACATCTGGAACAGAATGGATACACCCATACCCATTTCTTTGTTTTGGCAGGCACACAGGGGCAGTATGAAACAATGTAGTGGACAGGGCACCCCCTCACTGGCTGAGACATCTTGGTAAGCCCCTGCACCTCTCTGAACCTTGGCGTTATATTCCACAAAAAAGAGATAATACCTCTATTTCCCAAAATTGTTGTGGCTAGCTAATTAATGTTCTCATAGTCCAAAGGAGAACACTGAGCTGCTAAGAGGTTCAGTGATTCATCAAGTATGAAATGACACGTATGTCAAGCTCTTACAGCAAGATCTGGCAAAATAGTAAGCGTGATCATTATCATTACTATTGTTTTCATTGGCGTTTTCCTCATTGCAGTTCAATATGCATACTTCTAACAAGTAACTCTTCAAATTCAGGCCTGCTAATGGCAAATCTAGCCCTTTGTCTGCAACACTGGTCACCCAGCCCCCAGGCTCAATCCTGGTTACCCAGTCCCTGGGCTCCTCTCCATCACCCTGTCCCCAGGTTCCAGCCTGCATTTCCTCAGCACAACTCTCCCCACTAAAAGACGAATTTCACTATCTCTTCTCACTTTGACCCAGTCCCTTGCTTTCTATGACACCACGTTCCTTTACTGTAACCAGAACTATGATTGCTTCTCCACCTCTGGCCATCACTGTAAAGCACTTGAGAGGTTCACAAAGAATCATCATAGCAGTGCTGTGCCTAATTACAGTATCATCATTTTGATACAAATAGCTCCTGCAAGGAGTGTCTTCATAAAAATAGAAGCACCTATTAAATAACCACGGCACAGTCATGGAAAATGAGTTTTAAATTAAAATTTAAAATAAATGAGGGAGATAGAAAAACAATAAGCAGTAGACTCCATATAAAGCAATCAGCCATCTAAATAAAAGCAGAGACACCCAAGTGGACAGCTCGGATTTATCAAGTGTAACAGCCTCTGGAATTTGGATGAGAATTTTCAGAAGCGTCTTTCTCCATTACTCAGTTGACCCTCAAAGTTACAGGAAGCTCCCAGAGCACGTTAATATTTGTGATTTACAAAGCACACATGTCACAGGCCCTTTCATGAGGACAAAGGAAGTACAGTGGAAAAATGCCCTGACCTTGCCTCGCTTTTTTCCTTTTCTATAACACTGATTATTTTCTAACAGAGTATATTATTTATGTATGTCTATTTTTTCTTTTTTGTCTCTCCACCTTAGAATGTAAACTCCACAAAGTGGGGACCTTCATTTAGTTCACCAATGTATCCAAATCCCTGAGAACACTCCCTGGCACCCAGTAGGTGCTCAATAAGTAGCTTTTGAATAAATAGATAAAAATTTAAGAGTAGTTGTGTTCAAGTGACCTAACCTTCCTGAGTCTTAGTCACCTAATCTGTAAAATGGGGACAATAACATGTAATTAATAGTTGTATTGTAATAATTCAATGACAAAAATTTATATGACGTACTTAGCACCATGCCTGGCAATCAGTACTCAACAAATGGTAGCAATAAATAATACAACTCCTGTCCGGGCGTGGTAGTTCACACCTGTAATCCCAGCACTTTGGGAGGCCAAGGCGGCTGGATCACCTGAGGTCAGGAGTTCGAGACCAGACTAGCCAACATGGTGAAATCTCATCTCTACTAAAAATACAAAAATTAGCCGGCATGGTGGGATGCGCCCGTAATCCCAGCTGCACAGGAGGCTGAGGCATGAGAATCGCTTGAACCCAGAAGGTGGAGGTTGCAGCAAACAGAGATCGTGCCATGGCACTCCAGCCTGGGAGATAAGAGTGAGAGTCTCAAAAAATAAAAATAAATAAATAAATAAATAAATAAATAAATAAATAAATAATACAATTCTTTAGAGATGAATATTTATCTTGAAAGTTCATATAAAACACTCTACACTCATCACTCATCCCAAAAATCAGCCACAAAAGAGCAGTGAACAAAGGATAAAAAACCATAGCTTTTCACCTAGTCTTCATCTCCCAATGCCAAAGGGCTCATGGACCCATCGTGGGATCACAATGAGAAAATTAGAAGAATCCTTAATAATCAAGCAGAACAGAGTCAGCAGATGCCTTTATTTTTACAAATAAAGTTTTATTAGAACATAGCCACAGTCATTTGTTTACATATCATGTGCAGTGACTTTGATGCCACAGTGACAAAATTAAATAGTTGCACTACTTAAACTCTGTATAACACTCGGAGCCTAAAATATTTACCATCTGGCCCTTTAAAAAAAAGTATGCCATATGACCCTTGGTTTTCAGATGGGGAAACAGGGGCCCGTACAGCAAGCAGATGAGCCATCCCCAAGGTCATCCAGCAATTTGAGGCTCTGGATCTTTGAGACTAGTGCCTCCCACATCCCTTCAGAGGCCCAAATAGTCACTGTAAATCTTCAGTCACAGGGCCTGTATGCATGCTGACAACTCTAAGTGCAGTCTGACTTCTCCCCTGGTGAGCAGAAAAATGATCACTTGCTTGCAAGAGGCCCTCACTATGCCCATGAAGGGGAGAGATGCCACCGCCTGGAACTGGAAAGAACATGGGCCTTAGCACCATATCATCTGGGGATCAGTTTCCAGCTCCACAATGTACTGGATATTTGTTCTTGTGTAAGTTGCTTAACCCCTTGGGTCTCAGTTTCTCATCTGTCTAATGGGAGGAGTGGCTTCTTAGTTGAGCGCTTAGAGGATTGAGTTAAACGAGGCCAAGCATGTAAAAGCAACTAGCTTAGAAAATACTACCACCATACCTTTTTAAAGACCAAGACTGATAAGAGGAATCATCAAGAAAATTTCTGAGTTGACCAAATCTGCTTGGAAACATTCATGGTCTCACTTTCCAGGGCATTGTAACATCCCTTTTCCCCTGTCATGAATTATAGACTTGGTCCTGTAAATTATCTCATGGAGGCAGGTTCCTGACAGTGCCAATTTCTAAAAATATGTTGATTTGGGCTACGAATTGATTTTTTTTATTGTGATAAATTAAAATCCCGTATCATCCAACAAGACACTAACCACACAGAGACCCAATTTTTCCCCTTAAAGGTTCTATCTATTTGACATTAAAATAGATCTGGGGCAGCCATGGGCCAGTGGAAGCCCTGAACATTGAATATAATACACAAAGAGTATGGGGGTGGTCTAGAGAGAAGAGATTGTAGAGAAAAGAAATGCAAAATTAAAAAATAGGAAAAAGAAGAGGACACTCCCTGCTTCCTGTTTGTGAGCAT